>NC_000005.10:179672911-179823356 GCF_000001405.40 Homo sapiens
CAGGTGTGAGCCACCATGCCCGGCGATGCCTGGCTAATTTTTGTATTTTCAGTAGAGACGGGGTTTTACCATATTGGCCAGGTGGCTCTGAAACTCCTGACCTCAAGTGATCTGCCCGCCTTGGCCTCCCAAAGTGTTGGGATTACAGGCATGATCCACCACGCCTGGACTTTTTTTTCCTTTCTTCTTCTTTTTTTTTTTTTTTGAGATGGAGTCTCACTGTCGCCCAGGCTGGAGCGCAGTGGTGCGATCTCGGCTCACTGCAACCTCTGCCTCCAGGGTTCAAGCAATTCTCCTGCCTCAGCCTCCTGGGTAGCTGGGATTACAGGCGTGTGCCACCACACCCAGCTAATTTTTGTATTTTTAATGAAGACGGGGTTTCACCATGTTCAGGCTGGTCTTGAACTCCTGACCTCGTGATCCTCCCACCTCAGCCTCCCAAAATGCTGGGATTACAGGCGTGAGCCACTGTGCCTGGCCTTTTTTTTTTGTAGAGACAAGAATTCACTTTGTTGCCCAGGCTGTTCTCAAATTCCTGGCATCAAGCGATCTTCCTGCCTTGGCCTCCCAAAGTGCCAGGATTATAGGCGTGAGCCACCACGCTTGGCCCAAGACCCCCAGGTCTACAAAAAACAAAAAACTAGGCTGGGCACGGCGATTCACACCTGTAATCCCAGCACTTTGGGAGGCCAAGGCAGGCAGATCACCCGAGGACAGGAGTTCAAGATCAGCCTGGCCAATATGGTGAAACCCCATCTCTACTAAAAATACAAAAAATTAGGCAGGCGTGGTGGTACATGCCTCTAGTCCCAGCTACTTGGGAGGCTGAGGTGGGAGAATCACTTGAGCCCAGGAGTTTGAGACTCAGTGAGCCATGATCACACCACTGCGCTCCAGCCTGGGTGACACAGCCAGACCCCATCTCTAAAAAAGAAAAAGAAGTTGAAGGGGGTTAAGAGCAAACAGGGAAGGGAGGAATTGGGGATGTGAATATAAGCAACTTTTTGGAATTTAGTTATAAAGGGAAGCAAAGAAATGACACAGTAGCTGGAAGGGGAATGTGGCACCAAGAAAAGACTATTTTGTCTCACTCTGTTGCCCAGGCTGGAGTACAATGGCATGATCATGGCTCACTGCAACCTCCGCCTCCAGGGTTCAAGCAATTCTCCCGCCTCAGAGTCCTGAGTCGCTGGAACTACAGATGCACACCACCATGCCTAATTTTTCTACTTCTAGTAGAGATGAGGTTTCACCATGTTGGTCAGACTGGTCTTGAACTCCTGACCTCAGATGATCTGCCCGCCTTGGCTTCCCAAAGTGCTGGGATTACAAGCATGAGCTACTGTGCCCGGCCTTTTTTATTTTTTTGAGATAGAGTTTTGCTGTTGTTGCCCAGGCTGGAGTGCAATGGCATGATCCTGGCTCACTGCAACCTCAGCCTCCCAGGTTCAAGTGATTCTCCTGTCTCAGCCTCCTGAGTAGCTGGGATTACAGGCGCCTGCCACCATGCCCAGCTAACTTTTGTATTTTTAGTAGATATGGGGTTTCACCACGTTGGCCAGGCTGGTCTCAAACTCCTGACCTCAAGTGATCCACCTGCCTCAGCCTCCCAAAGTGTTGGGATTACAGGCGTGAGCCACCACGCCTGGCTTTTTTTTTTTTTTTTTTTTTTGAGACAGGGTATTATTATGTCAGCAAGGCTGGAGTGCAGTGGCACTATCACGGCTCACTGCAGCCTTGACCTCCCCAGGTTTGTGATCCTTCCACCTCAGCCTCCAGAGTAGCTGGAAATACAGGCGTGCGCCACCACACCCAGCTAATTTTTTACTTTTTGGAAAGATGGGGTTTCACCATGTTGTTCAGGCTGGTCTGACACTCCTGGGCTCAAGCAATCCTCCCACCTTAGCCTCCCAAACTGCTGGGATTACAGGCATGAACCACCGTGCCCAGCAAGAAAAGATTTTTTTCCAAGATAGAAGACCAAGTGAGATCCTCACTTACGCTTCTCTTCATCTCTCCTTTTTTTTTTTTGAGACGGAGTCTCGCTCTGTTGCCCAATCTGCAATGCGTGGCACAATCTCAGCTCACTGCAACGTCTGCTTCCCAGGTTCAAGAAATTCTCCCACCTCAGCCTCCCGAGTAACTGGGATTACAGGCTTGTGCCACAACACCTGGCTAATTTTTGTATTTTTAGTAGAGACGGGGTTTCACCATGTTGGCCAGGCAGGTCTCGAACTCCTGACCTCAGATGATCCGCCTGCCTTGGCCTCCCAAAGTGCTGGGATTACAGGTGTGAGCCACCACACCTGGCCCTCATCTCTCCTCTTGCTTGACAAACCTACACAGCCTTTTTGACCTGCCTCCTCAAACCCAGAAATATTTTTGCAAAGCTCTATTCCCCAGAGGATTCTGAGCTGTAGGAGGTGAAAGCCAGGGTCCTTTGTTCCTGCTTTCTTTGTTCCGACTTTATGCTCTGTGGCTTTCATCTCCTGGGGCAATGAGTTGGGCTGCCCTTTGGCAGGGCTCAGGACCAGGGTGTGAAATTCTAGAGCAGAAAGAACAAAGTTAGATATTTCAAAATATCATCCTGCTCCTTTTATTTCAGGCCCTTGATCCACTTGGATGCCCCTTTCTTTTTTTATTTATTTTTTATTTTTGACAGTCTCGCTCTGTCGCCCAGGCTGCAATGGTGCGATCTCAGCTCCCTGCAACCTCCACCTCCCAGGTTCAAGCAATTCTCCTGCCTCAGCCTCCCAAGTAGCTGGGATTACAGGCGCCTGCTACCACACCCAGCTAACTTTTTGTATTTTTTTTAGTAGAGATGGGGTTTTGCCATGTTGGCCAGGCTGGTCTCGAACTCCTGACCTCAGGTGATCCACCCACCTCAGCCTCCCAAAGTGCTGGGATTACAGACGTGAGCCACCGCATCTGACCTGTAGATGAACCTTTCTAAACAGGGCCCGCACTGGGCTGTGGGACTCCCTGCCTTCTGCAGGTTTGGTGGGGCAGATACCTTTCTCCACCCTAGGACTGTATTTGTTTTCAAGTAGTCTGGCCAAAGCAATATTCCCTAAACTTTAGGCATTCTTGGATCCCTTTATGAGTTTTGCTATTTTGGCATGCTACATGTAAGTTTTGCTTAATGTTTTTATGTAAAGCATCTTCCTCCTTTTACTTCTTTTATTGTGATAAAACTCATATAAAATTGACCGTTTTGAAGTGTACCATTCAGTGACTTTTATTACAATGTTGCAAAACTATCACCACTATAGTGCCAATTTCTCATCAGCCCAAAAGGAAGCCCCCTTGTGTTTACACACACACACACACACACACACACACACACAAACTGTGTCCTCCCATCCCTTGGTAACCTAATCTGTTTTTTGTTTTTGTTTTTGTTTTGAGACAGAGTCTCACTTTGTCATCCAGGCTGGAGTGCAGTGGCGCGATCTTGGCTCACTGCAACCTCCACCTCTCCGGTTCAAGTGATTTTCCTGCTTCAGCCTCCCAAGTAGCTGGGATTACAGGCGTCTGCCATCATGCTTGGCTAATTTTTGTATTTTTAGTAGAAATAGGGTTTCACCATGTTGGCGGCCAGGTTGGTGTCGAACTCCTGACCTCAGGTGACCCACCTGCCTTGGCCTCCCAAAGTGCTGGGATTACAGGTGTGAGCCACTGTGCCCGGCTGGATTTTAAAATTTTCTTTATTTTTTTTTTGAGACAGAGTCTGGCTCTGGAGTGCTGTGGTGTGATGCTGGCTCACTGCATCCTCTGCCTCCCAGGTTCATGCGATTCTCCTGTCCCAGTCTCAGGAGTAACTCGGACTGTAGGGCGCATGCCACCAAGCCCAGCTAATTTTTTTTTTTTTTCCTTTGAGACAGAGTCTCACTCTGTCGCCCAGATTGGTGTGCAGTAGTGTGATCTCGGCTCACTGTAACCTCCACCTCCCAGGTTCAGGTGATTCTCCCACCTCAGCCTCCAGGAGTAGCTGAGACTACAGGCATGCGCCACCACACCCGGCTAATTTTTTTGTATTTTGGTAGGGATGGAGTTTCACCATGTTGCCCAGGTTGGTCTCGAACTCCTGAGCTCAGGCAATCTGCCCACCTCAGCCTCCCAAAGTGCTAGGCTTACAGGCACCCGACACCGCATCTGGCCAATTTTTGGTATTTTTAGTAGAGACATGGTTTCACCTTGTTGGTCAGGATGGCCTTTTAACTCCTGACCTCGTGATAGGCCCGCCTCGACCTCTCAAAGTGCTGGGATTACAAGCGTGAGCCACCACGCCTGGCCCCAGGAAATCTGGATTTTTAATGTGGTATCTCCAAATTCTGAAACTTTGGCAACTAATGCAATTTTTAGAAGACTGTGGGCCAGGCAGACTGCATTCTATGGAGGTAGAAAAGGAGGCCTGAGGCCGGGCTCGGTGGCTCACGCCTGTAATCCCAGCACTTTGGGAGGCCGAGGCGGGCAGATCACGAGATTAGGAGTTTGAGACCAGCCTGGCCAACATGGTGAAACCCCATCTCTACTAAAAATATAAAAATTAGCCGGGCGTGGTGGCAGCGCCTGTAGTCCCAGCTACTCGGGAGGCTGAGGCAGAAGAATCGTTTGAACCCGCGAGGTGGAGGTTGCAGTGAGCCGAGATCGTGCCCCTGCACGGCAGCCTGGGCGGCAGAGCGCGACTGTCTCAAAAACAAACAAACAAAAAATTAGCCGGGCGTGGTGGCGCATGCCTGTAATCCAGCTACTTGGGAGGCTGAGGCAGGAGAGTCGCTTGAACCCAGGAGGCGGAGGTTGAGGTGAGCCGAGATCGCGCCATTGCACTCCAGCCTGGGCAACAAGAGCTAAACTCCGTCTCAAAAAGAAAAGAAAAGAAAAGAAAAGGAGGCCTGAGCCCGGCGCGGTGGCTCACGCCTGTAATCCCACGTTTGGGAGGCTGAGGTGGGAGGACTGCTTGAGCCCGGAAGCTCGAGGTTGCAGTGAGCCATCATCGCGCCACTGCACTCCAGCCTGGGTGACAAGAGCGAGACCCCGTGTTTAAAAATAAGTTTAAAAAAAAAAAAAAAAAAAAAAAAAGGCCTGTAACAGAGACGCGACTCTCCAAAATGCCACACAGGCAAGTGGGGGCCGCACAGCCCATGGTTTCCAGAAAGCTTCTCTTGGGAATGTAAAATAACACTTACCCTGGGACTTCTAGTTTCTAAACCTCCTGAGCCTAGAGGCCCTGAAGACGGACCAAGTGCAAAGTCCCCGACCCCATACACCGTCCTCCGCTCCCTCCGCACCACACCCTTCATTCCCTGAGCACCGCGGTTCCTCCGTCTCCGGGACTTCGCCCTCCGTTACCTGGATGGCCTGCAAGGCCATTACCCGCCACTCCACCCTATCTGGGCCATGTCGGCTGCAAGCTTGGCTTCCACTCCGCACTCCCGGAGAGCCACGCGCAGACCCTCCTCCACGGCCCCATCACACCCTCCCAAGACAGGCAGCTTAGGCTTGCGTCCCCTGCCGACACCCAGCACCGAGGGGCAGTCCCCGAGGCCACGCAGACCTCCCCAACCCACACGCACAGACCGACCCGGGGAACCGCGGGAGCCAGTCCCGCGCTGGGGCAGTGGCAGACCCGAGGCGTGAGGCGCGCATGCGTAGCGCGGCCTTTATTGCGTCACTGCGAGTCCAGAGCGCACGGCTGGATCATGAGCACGCCCGCGCTGGCGCCTGCGCGCTTGCGCATCTTCCTCTGCCCGGCGCGCGCCGCAGCCGTCGGGATCACCTCGGGGTTGCGCTGCTTCTCCAGCAAGTGCATGCGCGCCATGGTCTCAGTCAGCATGTCTATGAGCAGTTCCTGCTGCAGCTTCAGGTAGTTGTTCTCCTCCAGCAACACTTGGCTTTTGGACCGCTGCACCTGCGCCTTCCAGCCCCAGGCGGTCCGCGAGAGCAGCGGCGACCGCGTCCTCGCCAGCTGGCTCTCAGTGGTCCACCGCCCGCCGCGGAACACGAAGGCCTGGTTGCTGAGGCGCATGCACGGCGCGCCGTAGGCGAGGCCCAGCTCGGCCTGGCGCGTGTTGTGGTCCAGCAGGTAGAAGGTGGACAGGGAGGGCATGCGGCGCAGTGGCGGCCGCCGTGGCGAGAAGGGCCGCGAGATGTGATCGGCCCAAAACTGCTGCAGCGTCTGCCACAGGCGGCTGGCATGGCTCGTAGCCGAGCACTCGAAGGTTGCCAGGGCGTGGACCTTGTAGGGCACGCAGGTGCTCGAAGGGGAGCCTCGGGAGCGCTGGCGACTCGTGCTGCGCTCTTGTCTCGGGAGCCCGGATGTCCAGAATGATGAAGGCGAGCCAGGGGGCGCTGCTGGGAGACAAGAGTCCGGGTGAGCAGCGTGCTTGGTACAGGCCGCCTCTCAAACCGCGAGGCCGGCGGACATGTCTTAGCCCTGCAGCTACGGCTGCGGCTGTGTCTCACCAGCTGCTGGCCACCGAGGAGCCCGTCGTTCCACGCTGCACAGGCAGCAGTCTCACCTAAACCATCTTCCCCAAAGACCACTGAGGATCAGGCCCTGGGATACATATGCAGATGAAGGACGGGAGGAGGGCCTTGTTCTGAGTTGCAGCTGGAAGGGTGAGGGGTAGGGAATGGTAGCAAGACAAGTAAGTAGGTACTTAAAGGAGGAGTAGGACTTTGCCAGGTGGGTTGAGGATGGAAAATGGAGAACTTCTAGGCAGAGGGAAGAGCCGAGCAGGGCTTTCTTTTTCTTTTTTTTTGAGACTGAGTCTCGCTGTCGTTGCCCGAGCTGGAGTGCAATTGCGCGATCTTGGCTCACTGCAACCTCCACCTCCCGGGTTCCAGCAGTTCTCCTGCCTCAGCCTCTTGAGTAGCTGAGATTACAGGCGCCTGCCATCACCCCCACCTGATTTTTGTATTTTTAGTGAAGACGGGGTTTCACCATGTTGGCCAGGCTGGTCTCGAACTCCTGACCTCAGGTGATCCACCCAACTCGGCCTCCCAAAGTGCCCGGATTACAGGCATGAGTCACTGCGCCTGGCCTTTTTTTTTTTTTTTTTTTTTTTTTTGTATTTTTAGTAGAAATGGGGTTTCACCTTATTGGCCAGGCTGGTCTCGAACTCCGGACCTCAGGTGATCTGCCCGCCTCAGCGCCAAAGTGCTGGGATTACAGGTGTGAGCCACTGTACCCGGCAGGGCAGGACTTTCATATTTCAGATGTGAACACGAGCTTGGATAGGATTGGTGCTGGGAAGAGCAGAAGAGGAAGCTGGGAAGGTGGACCAGTGCACTATGTGAAGGTGCCCTACAGGCAGGCTCGGAAGCTTAGACTTCCTTTTGTGGGTAAGAGGGAACTGCTGAAGGATTAGAAAGCCGGGGTTAGATCTGGATTCTGAAAGCAATCTGGGAGGATATCTAGCATAGCCAACAGCATTATTGCCCTCATCATTCAGTCATTTGATAGACTTGAACTAGCATCTGCTCTGTGCCAGACTCTGGTCTTGGGAAGGGGACCTGAAACAGCCTCTGCCTGCCCTCAAGGTGCTCCTAATCCAGCTTGGAAGACAGATGCGTGTATAGACCACAGTCCAGTGTGTTCACTGACATCCTGGGGTGTGTGCCATGGGCTAGACCTATGCATAGGGCTCAAAGTATCAGGGATTGTGCACACTAAACATGACTTTTATTCCAAACAAACTGTGCCCTCAGGAAGTCCAAAGTCCAGATAACAGACAAGTCCCATTTTGCTCACTTCTCTCTGCACCCCCCACCCCTGCCCAGTAAGTGCTGATTCTATTATGTGAAAAAGGGAGCTATGTGTTGTTTCTAATTCCTCTTCTGCCCATGGGCAGTGAGAAGAGAAAGAACTAGAGCAGGGTTCCCTCTGTTATGCCTTCGTTAATTCATAATACACTTATCCCTCACATATAGGTGGACAGAGGCTGGATGGTACATACCATCCCCAAGATCTGGTTCAGGGAGATGGTCTCTGGAAGCCCACATCCAGGCCCACCCTTGAGATTGTATCTTCTCGGAGGATGTTTCCCCGTTAGTCCTCACTGTATGTTGTGCCTCACCTGGAAGATGGGGTGGAGTTGCTGAGCTGCTGTCCCAGGGCTAGTCCCATCTCTGACCCACTCAGCTCTTGTCCACCTGCTATGACTCACAATGCCTCCAGGCCAGGCCACCCCAGGACAAGAAGGGGTGCTGACCGCTGAGCTGTCAGATAGACTCTGGGCTCTCCCCTGCATGCATTCAGTGCATCATTGAGCACCTACTGTGTTCTAGGAACAGTTCTAGGGAAGTGAAGAACATATTCCCTCACTGAGCTGTCATTCTTGGCAGGGGAATGAAGGGAGTGATCATAAGCAGAGTCCAAGACAGGAATTTGTTCTAGGGGAACTAACAAGATAGTCTCTCAGGAAGCTAACAGAGCGTGTCATGGGTCAGGTTCCCTAGAAGCAGAGCCTAAGCTGAGCATTCTTGTTCAAGTGAATTATTGGGGAAATGCTCTCAGGAGAAGGGGGTGAGGGAAGCAAGACAGGGCGAGAAAAAGGCTAAGGCTGAGCCAGAGTGTGGTCTCACGTGGAGACTAGCTTCCGCTTGCTCTCATGGGGAACTCTGAGCACAAATGGCACCACAGTTAGGCCTCCTTAAAGCAAGGGAGCCCGTCTTTTGTACCCTCCTTCTACATGTCAGTTATTGGCCAGGGCAGCTGAGAGTTACCAGCCAGCTCCTACAGCACCTATGGGATGGGTGCACCACCAGTGATAGGGATCTCAGTAGGGCGCCAGCTGAGGAGGGAGGAAGATAATAGGATAGATGATGAAAATGAAAGGGCAGACTAGCCAACATGGCAAGACCCCATCTCTACAAAAACAAATTAGCTGGGCGTGGTGGCATGCGACTGTAGTCCCAGCTACTCAAGAGGCTGAGGTGGGAGGATCACCTGAGCCCAAGAGGTGAAAGCTGCAGTGAGCAGTGATTGTGCCACTGCACTCCAGCATGGGCGATAGAGACCCTGTGTTTAAAAAAAAAAAAAAAAAAAAGAGGGCCAGGCGCGATGTTTCATGCCTGTAAATCCCAGCACTTTGGGAGGGGAAGGTGGGTGGATCACCTGAAGTCAGAAGCTCGAGAACTGCCTGACCAACATGGTGAAACTCCGTGTCTACTAAAAATAGAAAAAATTAGCCGGGTGTGGTGGCGGGTGCCTGTAATCTCAGCTACTCAGGAGTCTGAGGCAGGAGAATTGCTTGAACCTGGGAGGCAGAGGTTGCAATGAGCGAAGATTGTGCCACTGCACTCCAACCTGGGCAACAAGAGCGAAACTCCATCTCAAAAAAAAAAAAAAGGAATGATTAAATTAATAAGAATATCCAGGCCGGGCACGGTGGCTCACGCCTGTAATCCCAGCACTTTGGGAGGCTGAGGCAGGCGGATCATGAGGTCAGGAGATCGAGATCATCCTGGCTAACATGGTGAAACCCTGTCTCTAATAAAAATACAAAAAATTGGCCGGGTGCAGTGGCTCACGCCTGTAATCCCAGCACCTTGGGAGGCCGAGGCAGGCAAATCACCTGAGGTTGGGAGTTTGAGACCAGCGTGACCAACATGGAGAAACACCATCTCTTCTCAAAATACAAAATTAGCCGGGCATGGTGGTGTATGCCTGTAATCCTAGCTACTTGGGAGGCTGAGGCAGGAGAATCGCTTGAACCCAGGAGGCAGAGGTTGCAGTTAGCCGAGATCACACCACTGTACTCCAGCCTGGGTGACAGAGCGAGACTCTGTCTCAAAAAAAAAAAAAAAAAAACCCTAATTCTGATACGTACAGTGAAGAAAACAAACCAGGGAAATACAGAAAGTGATTTTGGGACAGGGTGAGGAGTAGGAAGTAATTTAGATGTGGTGCTCGGTGAAGGCCCTTGACATTCTTGCTAAAACCTGAACAATAAGGAGACCCCAATCCCTTGAAGACCTGGGGGTAGAGGAGGGAAGTGGCTGGGCATGTTTGAAGGACACGTGCCACGTGTGCGGACAGTGGAAGGAAATGACGTCAGTCCTACCTACTAAGCCCACCCACCTGACTGCAAGGGACAGACCCAGATCCACAGGAGCTCACAAGCTGGGGCAGAGCCCGGTGGTGGTGCCACCTCCTAGGAAACTTCTGTAATAGTTTTATTGAGGTATAAGTGACAAAATCAACTACATTTATTTATTTATTTATTTTTGAGACGGAGTCTCGCTCTGTCGCACAGGCTGGAGTGCAGTGGCGCTACCTCAGCTCACTGCGACCTCCACTTCGAGGTTCACACCATTCTCCTGCCTCAGCCTCTCAAGTAGCTGGGACTACAGGCACCCGCCACCATGCCTGGCTAATTTTTTGTATTTTTTTTTTTAGTAGAGATGGGGTTTCACCGTGTTGGCCAGGATGGTCTCGATCTCCTGACCTTGTGATCCGCCCACCTCAGCCTCCCAAAGTGCTGGGATTACAGGTGTGAGCCACCGCGCCCGGCCAACTACATATATTTATAATGTATAATGTGAAGTATTTCGATAATTTGTTATGTGAAATCATTCCCAAAATCAAGATAATGTATCCATCTGGAGGTATCCATTACCTTTTTTTCTTTTTTTGAGAGGAGTCTCACTTTGTTGCCCAGACTGGAGTGCAGTGGTATGATCTTAGCTCACTGCAACCTCTGCCTCCTGGGTTCAAGTGATTCTCCTGTCTCAGCCTCCCAAGTAGCTGGGATTACAGGTGCCTGCCACCACACCCAGCTAATTTTTGTATTTTTAGTAGAGATGGGGTTTCACCATATTCACCAGGCTGGTTTCAAACTCCTGGCCTCAAGTGATCCATCTGCCTCGGCCTCCCAAACTGCTGGAATTACAGGTGTGAGCCACCGCGCCCAGCCTCAGTATAGATTTTTTTTGGCATTGGCTTCTCGCCGCATAATTATTTTAAGATTTATCCATGTTGTTGCATTTATTAACAGTTCATTGCTTTTTATTGCTGAGTAGTATTTCATTGTATGGAAACACCACACAATTTGTTTTTCCATTCAGCTGTTGATGCACATTTGGGTTGTTTCCAGTTTGGGGGCTATTGCAAATAAAACTGCTCTGAACATTTTTGCTCATCTTTGTGTGGACATATGCTTTCATTTCTCTTAAGTAAACACCTAGGAATAGAATGACTGTGTCATATGGCAGGTGCATGTTTACCTTTTTATTAAGCCACTAACAGTGAGTGAAAGTTTCTGTTTCTCTGTATCCTGGCCAACACTTGGTTTGGTAAACCTTCATTTTTAAAAAATTCGCTTAATTAAAGGTGGTGGTGGCGTTTTTGAGACGGGGTCTTACCGTGGTGCCTAGGCTGGTCTCAGACTCCTGGGCTCAAGGGATCCTCCCACCTGAGCCTCCCAAAGTGCTAGGATTACAGGCAGGAGCCACAGGGCCCAGCTAGTAAGCCTTTTTTTTTTTTTTTTTCAGCTCACTGCAAGCTCCACCTCCCGGGTTCACACCATTCTCCTTCCTTAGCCTCCTGAGTAGCTGGGACTACAGGTGCCCGCCACCACGCCCGGCTAATTTTTTTGTATTTTTAGTAGAGACGGGGTTTCACTGTGTTAGCCAGGATGGTCTTGATCTCCTGACCCCATGATCCACCCACCTCGGCCTCCCAAAGTGCTGAGATTACAGGCTTGAGCCACCGTGCCCGGCCAAGCCTTTTTAATTTTAGCCATAGTGGTAGCGTGTCTAAATTGTGGGGTTTTTGCTGTTGTTTTGTTGTTGTTTTAAATTTTTAACAGCAAGCTCATCCTTAATAAATTTATTTTACTTATTTATTTATTTTTTGAGATGGAGTTTCACTTTTGTTGCCCAGGCTGGAGTGCAATAGCATGATCTCAGCTCACTGCAACCTTCACCTCCTGGGTTCAAGCAATTCTCCTGCCTCAGCCTCCTAAGTGGGATTACAGGCGTGTGCCACCACACCTGGCTAATTTTGTATTTTTTTTTTTTTTTTTTTTTTTTTTTTTTACTAGAGACAGGGTTTTCACCATGTTGGCCCTGCCGGTCTTGAACTCCCGACCTCAAGTGATCCATCTGCCTCTACCTCCCAAAGTGCTGGGATTACAGGCTTGAGCCACTGTGCCCGGCCTTAATAAATCTATCTATTTATTTACTTATTTAATTTTTGGAGGCAGAGTCTCGCCCTGTCACCCAGGCTGGAGCGCAGTGGCGCAACCTCGGGTCACTGCAACCTCCGCCTCCTGGGTTCAAGCGATTCTTCTGCCTCAGCCTCCTGAGTACTTGGGATTACAGGCACACGCCACCACATCTGGCTAATTTTTTTGTTTATTTGTGTTTTTTTTGAGATGGAGTTTCACTCTTGTTGCCCAGGCTGAAGTGCAGTGGTGCAATCTTGGCTCACTGCAACCTCCACCTCAGCCTCCCGTGTAGCTGGGATTACAAGCATGTGCCACCATGCCTGGCTAATTTTGTATTTTTAGTAGAGACGGTGTTTCTCTATGTTGGTCAGGCTGGTCTTGAACTCCTGACCTCAGGTGATCTGCCCACCTCGGCCTCCCAAAGTGCTGGGATTACAGGCGTGAGCCACCGCGCCCAGCTTTTTTTTTTTTTTTTTTTTTTTTTGAGATGGAGTTTCGCTCTTGTTGCCCAGGCTGGAGTGCAGTGGCGTGATCTCGGCTCACTGAAACCTCTGCCTGCTGGGTTCAAGAGATACTCCTGCCTCAGCCTCCCAAGTAGCTGGGATTACAGGCAGCTGCCACCACGCCCAGCTAATTTTTGTATTTTTAGTAGAGGTGGGGTTTCACCATGTTGGCAAGGCTGGTCTCAAACTCCAGACTTCAGGTGATCCACCTGCCCTGGCCTCCCAAAGTGTTGGAATTATAGGTGTGAGCCACCACGCCCTGCCTAATGTTTGTATTTTTAGTAGAGACAGGGTTTCACCATGTTTGCCAGGCTAGTCTCAAACTCCTGACCTCAGGTTATCTGTCTGCCTCGACCTCCCAGAATGCTGGGATTACAGGCGTGAGTCATCGTGCCCAGCCTCATCCTTAATAAATTGAGGTTTTAATTTGCATTTCTCTAACAGCCAATGCTATTAAGCATCTTTCCATGTGGGTATTTGTTATCTATTTTGATGAAGTGGTTGTTCAAGTCTTTTTTTTTTTTTTGAGACGGAGTCTCGCTCTGTCACCAGGCTGGAGTGCAATGGCTCAATCTTGGCTCACTGCAACCTCCACCTCCCGAGTTCAAGCAATTCTCCTGCCTCAGCCTCCTGCGTAGCTGGGATTACAGGCACGCGCCACCACACCCAGCCAATTTCTGTATTTTTAGTAGAGATGAGGTTTCACCATGTTGGCCAGGCTGGTCTTGAACTCCTGACTTCAAGTGATCTGCCTGCCTCGGCCTCCCAAAGTGCTGGGATTACAGGTGTGAGCCACCAAGCCCGGCCATCTTTTTT
This sequence comes from Homo sapiens, assembly GCF_000001405.40. Classification (NCBI taxonomy): domain Eukaryota; kingdom Metazoa; phylum Chordata; class Mammalia; order Primates; family Hominidae; genus Homo; species Homo sapiens. The sequence goes on from NC_000005.10 coordinate 179,686,407, forward strand.
TTTTTTTAGTGGTTCAAGTCTTTTTGCCTATTTTAAAAATTGGACTGTTTGTCTTAATGATTGCAGTTTTTCTTGTTGTTATTTTGAGACACGGTCTCACTGTTGCCCAGGCTGGAGTCTATTGGTGGTGTGATCATGGCTCACCACAGCCTTGACCTCCCCAGGCTCCGGTGATCCTCCCATGTAGCTGGGACTGCAGGGAGGCACCACTACACCCTGCTAACTTTTGTATTTTTTAGTGGAGATGGGCTTTTGCCATGTTGCAAAACTCCTGGGCTTGAACTCCTGGGCTCAAGCGTTGTGCCTGCCTCAGCCTCCCAAAGTACTGGGATTACAGGCGTGAGCTACCATGCCTGCTCAAATTGCAGTTTTTGTTTGTTTGTTTCTTTGAGACAGAGCTTTGCTCTTGTTGCCCAGGTTGGGGTGCAATGCACAGTCTCGGCCCACTGCAACTTCCGGCTCCAGGGTTCAAGCAATTCTCCTGCCTCAGCCTCCTGAGTAGCTGGGACTACAGGTGCCTGCCACCATGCCTGGCTAATTTTGTATTTTTAGTAGAGACAGGGTTTTGCCATATTGGTCAGGCTGGTCTTGAACTCCTGACCTCAGGTAATCCGTCTGCCTTGGCCTCCCAAAGGTCTGGGAATACAGGCATGAGCCACTGCACCCGGCCTGCAGTTTTTTTGTTTGTTTGTTTGTTTTTTGAGACATGCCACCATGCCCGGCTACCGCTCTGTCACCCAGGCTGGAGTGCAGTGGCATGATTTTGGCTCACTGCGACCTCCACCTCCCGGGTTCAGGCCATTCTCCTGCCCCAGCCTCCCAAATAGCTGGGACTACAGGCATGCGCCAACACGCCCGGCTAATTTTTTTGTATTTGCAGTAGAGACGGGGTTTCACCGTGTTAGTCAGGATGGTCTCGATCTCCTGGCCTCGTGATCCACCCGCCTCGGCCTCCCAAAGTGCTGGGATGACAGGCGTGAGCCACCGCGCCCGGCCTGTGCTCTGTGTTCTTGTGCTTGGTCTGTTTATCGTTGCACCAATACTGTTGATACCTAGTAATGTAAATCTTCCAATAATATTCTTTAAGATTGCTTTGGCTTTCTAGGTCCTTTGTATTTCCATATAAATTTTAGAATTTGATTGTCAGTGTTCACAAATAAACCCTCATGCTCACTGTTGAAAGCTTTCTCTTCTTGTCATGAAGACACTCAAGAGCTTAAATCAACCCCCAGAAGGTTGTCTGATGGACATGGAATCAGAGCCCAGGAATATTTTAACCAAGCCAGTGATTCATATTCATTCTTTCTCCCTCCACAGTATGTCTATGTTATTAAAGTCAATTTTCAGCCACGCACGGTGGCTCATGCCTGTAATCTCAGCAATTTGGGAGACTGAGGCAGGCAGATCACTTGAGGGCAGGAGTTTGAGATGAGCCTGGCCAACATGGTGAAACCCTGTCTCTACTAAAAATACAAAAAATTAGCTGGGTGTGGTGGCGCACACCTGTGGTCCCAGCTACTTGGGAGGCTGAAGCAGAAGAGTCACTTAAACCCAGGAGGTGGACGTTGCAGTGAGCCAAGATAGTGCCACTGCACTCCAGCTTGGGCAATGGTGCAAGACTCCCTCTCAAAAATAAATAAATAAAGTCAGTATTCTTTTTTTTTTTTTTTAAGATGGAGTGTCGCTCTGTTGCCAGGCTGGAGTGCAGTGGCACGATCTCGGCTCACTGCAACCTCCACCTCCTGGGTTCAAGCGATTCTCTTCCCTCAGCCTCCCGAGTAGCTGGGACTACAGGTTAGCGCCACCACACCCAGCTAATTTTTGTATTTTTAGAGACAGGGTTTCACCATGTTGGCCAGGATGGTCTTGATCTCTTGACCTCAGGATCCGCCTGGCTTAGCCTCCCAAAGTGCTGGGATTACGAGCGTGAGCGACGGTGCCTGGCCTAAGGTCAATTTTTTTTTTTTTTTTTTTTGAGACGGAGTCTCACTCTGTCGCCCAGGCTGGAGCGCAGTGGCACAATCTCGGTTCACTGCAAGCTCTGCCTCCCGGGTTCACGCCATTCTTCTGCCTTAGCCTGCCAACTAGCTGGGAATATAGGTGCCCACCACCACGCGCAGCTCATTTTTTGTATTTTTAGTAGAGACGGGGTCTCACCGTGTTAGCCAGGATGGTCTCGATCTCCTGACCTTGTGATCCACCTGCCTCAGCCTCCCAAAGTGCTGGGATAACAGGCGTGAGCCACTGCGCCCGGCCGCCTAAGGTCAATTTTCATTAGCAATCATGATATTTGGCCAGACATGATGGCTCATGCCTGTAATCCCAGCACTTTGGGAGGCTGAGGCAGGTGGATCTCTTGACCTCAGGAGATCGAAACTAGGCTGGCCAACATGGTGAAACCCCTACTAAAAATACGAAAATTAGCCAGAGTGCTCCAGGGGCTGAGGCAAAAGGATAACTTGAGGCCAGGAGTTTGATGGTGCAGTGAGCCATGATCGTACCACTGCACTCCAGCCTGGACAACAGAGTGAGACACTATCTCAAAAAAACAACAGAAAGAGGCCGGGTGTGGTGGCTCATGCCTGTAATCTCAGCACTTTGGGAGGCCAAGGCGGGTGGATCACTTGAGGTCAGGAGTTCAAGACCAGCCCAGCCAACATGGTGAAACCCCCTCCCTACTAAAAATAAAAATAAAAAATTAGCTGGGCATGGTGGTGTGCGCCTATAATCCCAGCTAATTGGGAAGCTGAGAATCGCTTAAACCCAGGAGGCAGAGGTTGCAGTGAGCAGAGATCGTGCCACAGCAGTCCAGTCTGGGTGACAGAGCTGTCTCAAAAACGACAGCAAGAACAACAATAACAAAAAACCAACGAAAACATACGTCAGACCGATCATAGATGACCACTAGGAATGGTACACAACTTCCCTTATTTCATGGCCTACCAAAAAGAGAAAGCTACAAAACCCAACAAGTTTTTTTTTTTTTTTTTTTTTTTTTGAGACAGAGTTTTGCTCTTGTTGCCCAGGTGGGAGTGTAATGGCGCAATCTTGGCTCACTGCAACTTCTGCTTCCTGGGTTCAAGCGATTCTCCTGTCTCAGCCTCCTGAGTAGCTGGGATTATAGGCGTCCGCCACAATGCTTGGCTAATTTTTTGGTATTTTTAATAGAGACAGGGTTTCACCGTGTTGGCCAGGCTGGTCTCAAACTCCTGACTTCAGCTGATCCGCCCGCCTCGGCCTCCCAAAGTGTTGGGATTACAGGCGTGAGCCACCACACCCGGCCTCTTTTTTTCTTCTTCTTCTTTTTTAAGTTCTTGCCTACTCCTGGAAGTCTTTATTTGATTATTTGAACAGGAAATGTTAGGAGAGATGATGGATAATTCCCACTTAAAATGGATGTTAACTCCTTTCACAAGAAGACCTTGATTTTGAGGACATTTAATGAAGACTTCAGAATTTAAAGATTCACAATTTAAAAAATGGCTCCTGGTTCCTTTGAGGATCCCCATCTCAATGTCACTGAAAAGATGAGGTTTGGAGCCCGTGAGGAAGGGAAGGGTGTGCTACCGGGTCCCAACAGGTCTGAATTGAAGGACATAAGGTTTATTCTGATGGCAGAAAGGAAAGGAGAAGAGCATCTGAAGATTTTTCAGAGTTTTCCACATCACCAGCATTTCTACCACACTGGCTGTGAATCACACTGGGTGTGAATGTCAGTGGGTCTCTTCTGGCAACCAAGAGGAATATTCCCCAAACCAAGGAAGCTAAATCTTGTTTTTCCCCATGGAAATTTCAGTCTGGCTTCTGTGATAGTCTGTTAGTGACATTTGCCCTTCCCTGAAACAACATGGTGTTCTCTGTGCTAATATAGTTTTAAAAAAGAAGTTGGCCAGGCGCAGTGGCTCACGCCTGTAATCCCAGCACTTTGGGAGGCCGAGGCGGGTGGATCACCTGAGGTCAGGAGTTCAAGACCAGCCTGGCCAACATGGTGAAACCCCGTCTGTACTTAAAATACAAAAATTAGCCAGGTGTGGTGGTACGCACCTGTAATCCCAGCTACTTGGGAGGCTGAGGCAGGAGAATCACTTGAACCTGGGAGGCGGAGGTTGCAGTGAGCCAAGATCGCGCCACTGCACTCCAGCCTGGGGGACAAGAGTGAGACTTCATCTCAAAAAAAAAAAAAAAAAAAAAAATCTGAAAAAAGGCTGGGCCCAGTGGCTCACGCCTGTAATCCCAGCACTTTGGGAGGCTCAGGCAGGTGGATCACGAGGTCAGGAGTTGGAGACCAGCCTGACTTACATGGTGGAAGCCGTCTCTACTAAAAATACAAAAATTAGCCGGGCGCGGTGGCATGCGCCTGTAATCCCAGCTACTTGGGAGGCTGAGACATGATAGTCACTTGAATCCAGGAGGCAGAGCTTGCAGTGAGCCGTGATCATGCCACTGCATTCCAGCCTGGGCGACAGAGTGAGACTCTCTCAAAAAAAAAAATAATAAGTAACATAAATGTTAATTTGACTTTTTGGTTTGTATTATAGGTAAAATTATAAACATGGTTTTATATTGATATGAGCTATAAATTTATAGTGGGTTTATGTTTATAGACATTGATATATTATTTTTTTACTTCATTTTTTTGAGACTGTGCTCACTCTGTTGCCCAGGCTGGAGTGCAGCAGCATGATCTTGGCTCATGGCAACTTCTGCCTCCCAGGTTCAAGCAATTCTCCTGCCTCAGCCTCCCGAGTAGCTGGGATTACAGGGCCTACCACCATGCCCAGCTAATTTTTGTATTTTTGGTAGAGATGGGGTTTCGCCTCGTTGGCCAGGCTGGTCTCGAACTCCTGGCCTCGAGTGATCCACCCACCTCAGCCTCCCAAAGTGCTGGGATTACAGGTGTGAGCCATCATGCCTGGCCTATATACATTTAAACAACACTGTGTGGCTGGTTAATATTTTGAAATGTTAGCCAGTGTATTGTTTTTTCAGGCAGACCAAGCTGAGTAAAAAAGTGAGTGGGCCGGGCACAGTGCTTCATGCCTGTAATCCCAGCATTTTGTGAGGTCAGGGTGGGAGGATCCCTTTAAGCCCAGGAGTTTGAGACCAGCTTGGGCAACACAGGGAGATCCCATCTCTGCAAAGAAAAAAAAGAAAAAAAAATGAGTCAAATTGCCTGATCATGAAAGGGAGAATGAAGCAGATGTCATTTGGCTCTGGAAGACAGGAAGAGCCACTACACTGCAATCCCAGCTCGGGATAGCATGAGGCGAGGCAGTACTCTCTTCCTCTCCTTGGGCTCTTTGACATCCCTATATACTTTCCTTGAGGTAGTTTCACTATATCTCTCTTCTTTATTATTTATTTTATTTAATTAATTTATTTATTTTTTGAGACGGAGTCTCGCTCTGTCGCCCAGGCTGGAGTGCAGTGGCACGAACTCAGCTCACTGCAAGCTCTGCCTCCCGGGTTCACGCCATTCTCCTGCCTCAGCCTCCCGAGTAGCTGGGACTACAGGCACCCGCCACCACGCCCGGCTAATTTTTTTTGTATTTTTTAGTAGAGACGGGATTTCACCATGTTAGCCAGGACAGTCTCGATCTCCTGACCTCATGATCCACCCACCTCAGCCTCCCAAAGTGCTGGGATAACAGGCGTGAGCCACCGTGCCCGGCCTATTTTTTTTTTTGAGACAAAGTCTCGCTCTGTTGCCCAGGCTGGAGTGCAGTGGTGCGATCTCGGCTCACTGCAACCTCCGCCTCCTGGGTTCAAGTGATTCTCCTGCCTCAGCCTCCCAAGTAGCTGGGACTACAGGTACGCACCACCATGCCCGGCTAATTTTTGTATTTTTAGTAGAGACAGGGTTTCACCATGTTGGCCAGGCTGGTCTTGAACTCCTGACCTCAAATGATCTGCCCATCTCGGTCTCCCAAAGTGCTGGGATTACAGGCATGAGCCGCTATGCCTGGCCATCTGTGTTCCTTATAACCAAAAAGAGCCCCCGGTTTAAAAGCTCTTAAAGGTCTGGGAGCAGTGGTTCACATCTGTAATCCCAGCACTTTCAGAGGCCAATGGAGGATGATCACTTGGAGCAGCCCCTGAGCAACAAAGAGCCCCTGTCTAATTATTTTATTTTTTAGAGACAGGGTCTTGCTCTGTTGCCCAGGCTAGTGGAGTGCAGTGGCATGATCATGGCTCACTGCAGCCTCAACCTCCTGGGCTGAATCTATCCACCTACCTCAGCCTCCTGAGTAGCTGGCACTCAGGCATATGCCACTAATTTTTTATTTTCTGTACAGATAGGGTTTTGCCATGTTGCCCAGGCTGGTCTCAAACTCCTGGGCTCAAGTGATCTGCCTGCCTCGGCCTCCCAAATTGCTGGCATTACTGGCAAGAGCCATCGCATGAGCACATAGTACATAATGATTCCTTACAAACCAGTATGAAAAAGACAAAACCTAGGCTGGGCGTGGTGGCTCACGCCTGTAATCCCAGCACTTTGGGAGGCCAAGGCGGGTGGATCACGAGGTCAGGAGTTCAAGACCAGCCTGGCCAAGAAGGTGAAACCCCATCTCTACTAAAAATACAAAAAATTAGCCGGGCACAGTGGCAGGCGCCTGTAGTCCCTGCTACTCAGGAGGCTGAGGAAGGAGAATCATGTGAACTCGGAGGGTGGTGGTTGCAGTGAGCCGAGATCATGCCACTGCACTCCAGCCTGGGCAACAAAGTGAAACTCCGTCTCAAAAAAAAAAAAAAAAAAGACAAACCCTATAGTGGAAAAATGGACAAACGACATGAATAGAGAATTCACAAAGGAAAAAAAATATATATGGTTAATGAACATGAAAAATGTTGGCCAGGTGCTGTGGTTCACACCTGTAATATCAGCACTTTGGAAGGCTGAGGCAGGGAGATCACTTGAGCCCAGGAGTTTGAGACCAGCCTGGGCAAGAAAGTGAGACTCTATCTCTACAAAAAATAAAAATTAGGCTGGGCACGGTGGCTCAGGCCTGTAATCCCAGCACTTTGGGAGGCCAAGGCAAGTGGATCACCTGAGCTTAGAAGTTTGAGACCAGCCTGGCCAACATGGCGAAACCCGATCTCTACTAAAAATAGAGAAATTAGCCGGGTGAGGTGGCACATGCCTGTAGTCCCAGCTACTCTGGAGGCTGAGGCAGGAGAATCGCTTAAACTGGGAGGTAGAGGTTGCAGTGAGCCGAGATTGTACACTGTACTCTAGCCTGGGCAACAGTGAGAATCTGTCTCAAAAAAATAAAATAAAAATAAAAACTAGCCACGCATGGTGGTGCATGCCTATAGTCTTAGCCACTTGGGAGGCTGAGGCAAGAGGATCCCTTGAGCCCAGAAGTTTGAGGCTGCAGTGAGCCATGATTGTGCCACTGTACTCTAGCCTGGCCGGTAACTTGTCTTAAAAAAAAAAAAAGTTTAATTTCACTGTAATAAAATAAACTTCAATTAACATAGTTACATATCTTTTTCTTTGTCCATCATTTTGACAATGCCAGATTAGCATGAGTATAGAGAAACTTTAGAGAAATGACCATTACCAGCCTAACTATTAAGAAAGTAATGGGCCGGGCGTGGTGGCTTATGCCTGTAATCCCAGCTACTCAGGAGGCTGAGGCAGGAGAAGCGCTGGAACCCGGGAGGCCGAGGTTGCTGTGAGCTGAGATCCTGCCATTGCACTCCAGCCTGGGCAACAAGAGAGAAACTCCGTCTCAAAAAAAAAAAAAAAAAAAAAAAAAGGAATGAGAGCGAACAATACAGCCAGGATGGCTAAAGGTGACCCCAAGAAACCAAAGGGCAAGATGTCTGCTTATGTCTTCTTTGTGCAGACATGCAGAGAAGAATGTAAAAAGAAAAACCCTGTCAATTTTGCAGAATTTTCCAAGAAGTGCTCTGAAAGGTGGAAGACAATGTCCGGGAAAGAGAAGTCTAAATTTGATGAAATGGCAAAGACGGATAAAGTGCACTGTGATCGGGAAATGAAGGGACCAGCTAAGGGAGGCAAGAAGAAGAAGGATCCTAGTGCCCCCAAAAGGCCACCATCTGGATTCTTCCTGTTCTCTTCGGAAATCCGCCCCAAGATCAAATCCACAAACCCTGGCATCTCTATTGGAGATGTGGCAAAAAAGCTGGGTGAGATGTGGAATAACTTAAATGACAGTGAAAAGCAGCCTTACATCACTAAGACGGCAAAGCTGAAGGAGAAGTACGAGAAGGATGTTGCTGATTCTAAGTCGAAAGGGAAGTTTGATGGCTCAAAGCGTCCTGCTAAAGTTGCCTGGAAAAAGGTGGAAGAGGAAGATGAAGACGAGGAGGAGATGAGGAGGAGGATGAATAAACAAAGTGTTTATCTGTCAAAAAAAAAAAAGTAAATGGATAAAAATGTGAGTGCTCCCTCTCTCTGTGTGCCCACTTTCTCCTTCAAGCAAAAGGTAGGCATGAGCAAGGATGAGGGTGGCTTTGAGGGAAGGATGGAGAGACAAGCTATGAGAAGAAGCTGGATACGAAGGATAAATGGATCAACAATTTTGTTTACTCTTTTAAACATACTGCCTATTTTGAAAAAAGTACAAAAGCTAAAGCTAAAATTTATTCCTTTTTTAAGTTTTTATTTCTTTCATTTATTTATTTATTTTTGAGACGGAATCTTGCTCTGTCTCCCAGGCTGGAGTGCAGTGGCGCGATCTCAGCTCACTGCAAGCTCCGCCTCCCGGGTTCACGCCATTCTCCTGCCCCAGCCTCCCCAGCAGCTGGGACTACAGGCACCCGCCCCACACCCGGCTAATTTTTTTGTGTGTGTGGTTTTTTTTAGTAGAGACGGGGTTTCACCGTGTTAGCCAGGATGGTCTCGATCTCTTGACCTCGTGATCCACCCGCCTCGGCTTCCCAAAGTGCTAGGATTACAGGCGTGAGTTTGAGGCGGAGTTTCACTCTTGTTGCCCAGGCTGGAGTGCAATGGCGCAATCTCAGCTCACCGCATCCTCTGCTTCCTGGGTTCAAGCGATTCTCTTGCCTCAGCCTCCCGAGTAGCTGGGATTACAGGCATTAGCCACCATGCCCGGCTAATTTTGTATTTTTAGTAGAGACAGGGCTTCTCCATGTTGGTCAGGTTGGTCTCGAACTCCTGACCTCAGGTGATCCACCCGCCTTGGCCTCCCAAAGTGCTGGGATTACAGGCGTGAGCCACTGTGCCTGGCCTATTTTTATTTATTTATTTATTTTTATTTTTATTTTTTTTGAGACGGAGTCTCGTTTTGTCGCCCAGGCTGGAGTGCTGTGGCGCAATCTCCGCTCACTGCAAGCTCCGCCTTCCGGGTTCACACCATTCTCCTGCCTCAGCCTCCCGAGTAGCTGGGACTACAGGCGCCCGCCACTGCGCCCGGCTAATTTTTTGTATTTTTAGTAGAGATGGGGTTTCACCGTGGTCTCGATCTCCTGACCTCATGATCCACCCGCCTCGGCCTCCCAAAGTGCTGGGATTACAGGCGTGAGCCACTGTGCCTGGCCTATTTTTATTTTTTTAGACAGGGTGTTACTCTGGTACAGTGGCCCAATCTTGGCTCACTGCAGCCTTGACCTCTTGGCCTTAGACAATCCTCCCACCTCGGCCTCCTGAGTAGCTGAGACTACAGGCTCAAGCCACTATGCCAAGCTAATTTTTGTATATTTTGTAGAGATGGGGTCTTGTCATGTTGCCCAGGCTGGTCTTGAATCCTGGGTTCAAGTGATCCACCCACCTTCGCCTCCCAAAGTGCTGAATTAGAGGCATGAGCTACCTCACCCGGCCTGATTCTTTGTTGAAAAAATCATATGCATGTTTAAAGAAAGTGTCATTTCTTTTTTTTTTTTTTTTTTTTTTTTTGGAGACAGAGTCTGGCTCTGTCACCCAAGCTAGAGTGCAGTGGCACAATCTTGGCTCACTGCAACCTCTGCCTCCCGGGTTCAAGCGATTGTCCTGCCTCAGCCACCCGAGTATCTGGGACTATAGGTGTGCACCAGTATGCCCGGCTAATTTTTGTATTTTTAGTAGAGATAGGGTTTCACCATGTTGGCCATACTGGTCTTGAACTCCTGACCTCAGGTAATCCGCCCGCCTCAGCCTCCCAAAGTGCTGGCATTACAGGCGTGAGCCACTGTGCCTGGCCAAGAAAGTATTTCTGCTTCTAGAGTTTCAGGCCCCCTCTCCAGCATTAACCTTTCCTAGCAGTTTCTCGTGTTTCTTTCTAGTAAGCTTGTTTGGCCAAGCTTACATGTATGAGAATACATCTCCCTTTTCAGTATGAAAGGAAACACACCTTTCTCTGTGCTTTTTCACATGACACTAAATCTTGACTGTTGCTCCATGTCAGAATGTAAACAGGCTGTAAACCTCTTGTTACTGCACTTCCTTTTATTGGTTTTCACAGATGCTGTGTTTTTACAAATTGAATGTGGCAACCCTGCATCAAGTAAGTCTATAAGCACCATTTTTCCAACAGCACGTACTCACTTCTGGTCTCTGTCACATTTTGGGAATTCGTATAATATGTTTTCATTATTATATCTGTCATGGTGATCCAGGTTGATGTTACTATTGTAATTGCTTTGGACTGCACAAACGATGCCCATGTAAAACATCTGTTTGTTTTTATTATTTATTTATTTAGAGACGGGTTCTCACTCTGTTGCCCAGGCTGGATGAAATGCAGTGGCCTGATCTTAGCTCACTGCAGCCTCCTCAATCAGGAGTCAAGGATACTCCTGCCTCAGTCTTCCTAGTATCTGGGTCTACGGGTGTGCACCATGCCAGGCTAATTTTTTTATTTTTATGTTTGTAGAGACAGGGGTCTCACTATGTTGCCCAGGCTAGTCTTGAACTCCTGGCCTCAAATGATCCACCTGCATCAGCTTCCCAAAGTGCTCAGATCACAGGGAGAGCCACCTCGCCCAGCCAATTCTGACCTCTTTGCCAGTCCATTCTGGATGGAAGCAGTCCCTCCCCTTCAGAATCCCATTGAATTCTCCATAGTACCACAGTCTTTTGGCACTTACCTTTGCAGGAGTAGCTCTTTTGCTCACAAATGTACTTCCTGTAACTACATTTTAAGCTCATTATTTGGATCATGTAGCATCCAGAATTTTATTCTGCTTTGAATAGCTGCTTCCCCAGGTAGACAGGAAACCAAAATTCTCCTACACAAATTTTGGGGCTGAAGTTGGGGCGCCGTGGCTCACGCCTGTAATCCCAGCACTGTGGGAGGCAGAGGCAGGTCGATCACCTGAGGTCAGCCTGGCCAACATGGTGAAACCTGTCTCTACTAAAATACAAAAATTAGCCGGGCGTGGTGGCGGGCGCCTGTAATCCCAGCTACTCGGGAGGCTGAGGGAGAATCGCTTGAACCCGGGAGGCGGAGGTTGTAGTGAGCTAAGATCGCACCACTAGACTCCAGCCTGAGCGACAGAGCAAGACTTCGTCTCAAAAAAATAAAAATAAAAAAAATTTGGGGGTTGAGGGTTGGATGATACTAACTCATGCAAACACCAAACCCTGCCTTTCTTCCCCTTCCCGGTGGCAAGAGGGCTTTTCAGATCAGTGATACATTCGCTGATTCTAGTGTTTTCCACCCTAGTAGTCAAGCCTTTGGGTGTCCAAACAAATAGAGAACAAGAGATCAGGATCTCTAAAGGTCTAGAAAAACCCTGGGCCACTTCCATTTTGTGAGGTTCTCAGCATACTGAAAACTGAAGATGTACTAAGAGTGGGTTACTAAAATGGTGGCGTATCTTAAATCTTTCCATGGCACCATCCTTTCTCTCGTCCTGTCATCCCTGTATCTCTCTGCCCTGACACCTAATCTCACTTCAGGAAACATAAATTGAAAGTTCAAATAACCTCGGATTATATTATTCTGGACTGTGTGTTATGCTGGGCGACGAGGCTGCGCAGGCTCCTGGGCCGAGCCATGACTCTGCAGGAACTGCGGCGCCGGCTCACACAGCGCGGAGCAGTGCACGCCAATCCGGCCAGGCGCTCGCGCTGGGTTCTGCTCACGCCCGTAGGGGCCCGCGTTCGCTGCAACGGGCCCTTCCTGATGGCCGATCGTCGGACTCCTACCCCTTTTGCCGGCTGCCGTTTGCCCCGTCAGCGAAGGGCGCGCGATGCGTCCCAAGTCTCGGCTCCAGGAACCAGACGGGTGAGGGCTACTGGGGGTTGGGTTGGAACGCCCCGAAGGCACCACAGCAACCGACGCGGGAACGCCTGTTAAACCAGCCCCGCCCCGAGACGCGCGCGCCCGGCGGTCTCGATCCAGCGTGGCCCGCCCCTCACCTCCCGCCCAACCAACAGCCACTTCCTGCCTCACTCCCGGCCAATCTTCACACTCCACGAAGAATAGCCGTAGGGGGCGTATGGGACGGTGCGTAGAGCGATGCCCACGCCGGCCAACCGGATGTCGGGGCTTGCGCGGGAGGGCGGGACTTGGCGCCGGCTGTGGCTACTCAGGGGCCAGGGGCGGGCACAGGGCCGGGCTTCGTGCGGTGGGGCTCGCTCGCGCGGCAGCGGTGGCCGAGGCCTCTTGGTTCTGCGGCACGTGACGGTCGGGCCGCCTCCGCCTCTCTCTTTACTGCGGCGCGGGGCAAGGTGTGCGGGCGGGAAGGGGCACGGGCACCCCCGCGGTCCCCGGGAGGCTAGAGGTGAGAGGGGAGACCTGAGCGCGTCCTCGGGCCTGTGAGGACCTCGGGGGGCTGGGAGCGCCTCTGCGGCTGAGGGGTCGGGCGTGGCCGGCGACTGAGGGGTCGGGCTGGCTCTTGAGGGCCCAGGCCCTGGCCGACGCGCCCGCCGTGAGCGAGGAGGCCCGAATCCGGGCGTCTTTGGTTGGGTTGCGGGCCCAGGCCGCGCCGCCGGGGTCGGGAGGCGTGGCAGGTGGCCCGACAGCCTTCTTTGACCTCTGGGAAAGCTGACTTATTCCTATGGCTTTGCTTCTAGGGCTTTCTTAGGCCTCTTTGCCGGCTGCCTGGGCAGCCGCGAGGTGGGCTGGAGTAACTGGGTAAAAGTATAGGGTGGAATCGGGCCTACTAGGTACCCCTAGTAGTAGGGAAGGGTGGTATTAGACCGAGAGGGAATGTTTACAACTAGCGTTACAGTTTAATATTTGAAAATCCAAAGCGGAGACTGGACCCTAGTTCCCTGAAGAGAAAGGGGAATGTACCAGAAGGAGAACACGCAGTGGTTGAGAAACTTAGCAGTTACAGCACCTATTCTGGAGGCGAGTAATCCAGTTGGAGAGGGACAGGGCGTTAAAAGCAGGAAAGCCCCCGAAAGCTCATCTAAGTGCATCTCTTTCCACACCGGAGGCCTGGAGGTATGAAATGACTGGCCCAAGGTCATGCGATTAGTGTACTGATGGTGCTGGGATTATAGTTCAGGGATAGACCGTGCAGTGGTTAACGCTAAGGCCCTGGCTCGAGTCTTTGATTGGTCATTGGTTGCTCTGTGAACTTCGGCAGTTTTCTTACCCTTTGTGCCCCCGTTCTTGTCAAGTAATGGATATAATAATACCCGATGGATTTGTGAGGATTAAATTAAGATATGTATACAATAAGACAGGGAAGTCCGACATTTAGTAACTGCTCGATGATCATTGCGGTACGTTATTATAATCTGAATGCCTTTGGACCAATACACTGCCATCCTAGTGAACTGGTTCAGTCCTGTTTCGCAGGACCTGAGGTCACAGTTATGGTGATAGAAGAAACCGGGCATTGTGTATTACCGCTGGGCATGACACAAGTGATTGCTGGTTGAGGGAAGTTAAACTGAGCTTAATATTAAAAGATTGAGAGGACAAGATTAACCATAGTTAAGTCTTTTTACCTCTGATTTAGGAAATGGAAGATTTTGCTTAATTTTTTAATAAGTAGATTTTTTTAAGGGGGAAGAATTTTATTGATCTTTAAAATCATTCTGTATCTCAGTCTTTTCCCAACATTGTTTGAGGGTCATGAATAGAAGCAACTGCCATATGGATCAACTGTTGTACATTTGGTATAATTATACTTAGAGCAGAGGTAAAGGACTATGTGGGAGTTCTCCTGTGCATCAGCCAGGGTGCACACACAAGCCAGGTAACTGGATCATGAGAATGCTCGAGTGAACTGTGTGTGGGGGTCAGTGTTGCACAACAGAAATTTTCTGACTTATCTGCAAATGGCTGTCAGCATTCCCCGACACCTTACTATCCTTACTCCCCAGTTCATTTAGCGCATTATCTTCTCAGGGCCACAAGGGATAAGTGTTTTGACAGAAGTCGTTGCTGCCGTTTTGGCAATCACACTATTGCATCCTTTTAGTTAGAGTTCTCTTTGCCCTGGAAGACAGCTTAAGGGGATGAAGTGGCAGTTGGTGAGCATGAATTGCAGGCTCATGAAACTTGAATTGTGTGCCCAGTGTGGTAACCTTTTTTTTTTTTTTTTAGACGGAGTCTCGCTCTGTCACTCAGGCTGGAGTGCAGTGGCGCGATCTCGGCTCACTGCAAGCTCCGCCTCCCGGGTTCACGCCATTCTCCTGCCTCAGCCTCCCTTGTAGCTGGGACTACAGGTGCCCGCCACCACGCCCGGCTAATTTTGTTTTTGTATTTTTAGTAGAGACGGGGTTTCACCGTGTTAGCCAGGATGGTCTCAATCTCCTGACCTCGTGATCCGCCCACCTCGGCCTCCCAAAATGCTGGGATTACAGGCGTGAGCCACTGCGCCCGGCCCAGTGTGGTAGCTTTTGTCCCACTTTGGTTTCCGTAACTTCAAAATAGGAATGAGAAGTCTCCTGGGTTCCTCACCTTTAGGGGGCAATTGGGAGGGGCAGATAAAATGGTGAACATGAAACTACTTTAAAAAGTGTAATGAATTGGCTGGGCACGGTGGCTCTCACGCCTGTAGTTCGAGCACTTTGGGAGGCTGAGGTGGGCGGATTACTTGAGGCCAGGAGTTGGTAACCAGCCTCGCCAAAATGGTGAAACCCTGTCTCTACTAAAAATACAGAAAATTAACCTCCAGCTACTCGGGAGGCTGAGGCAGGAGAATCACTAAACCTGGAAGGCGGAGGTTGCAGTGAGCGGAGATGGTTCCATTGCACTCCAGCCTGGGTGACAGAGTGAGACTCCATCTCAGGAAAAACAAAAAAAAAAGTGTAATGAACTGTGCAAATAGAATACGCCGTTTATAATAACTCCTAGGAAATAATAAAAGTACCTAAACAGTTAAAACCTATACAGCTTTTGGTAAAACTTTTCAGGAAAGTCCTGGTTGAATTCTTTGTTACTCCAACAGATGTACTTTTTTTTTTTTTTTTTTTTTTTTTTTGAGACGGAGTCTCCCTCTCAGGCTGGAGTACAGTGGTGTGATCTTGGCTCACTGCAACCTCCGCCTCCTGGGTTCAAGCAATTCTCCTGCCTCAGCCTCCCAAGTAGCTGGGACTACAGGTGCCCACCACCACACCCGGCCCGGTTTTTTGTATTTTAGTAGAGACGGGGTTTCACCGGGTTGTCCAGGCTGGTTGCGAACTCCTGAGCTCAGGCAGTCCGCCCACCTCGGCCTCCCAAAGTGCTGGGATTACAGGTGTGAGCCACCGCGCTCAGCCTTACTTATTTTTTTAGAGACAGGGTCTTGCTCTTCATCAGGCTGGAGTGCAGTGGCGTGGTTATTGCTCACTGCAGTCTCAAACTCCTGCTGTTATTGGTTCAAGTGATCTTCCTGCCTCAGTCTCCTGAGTAGCTGGATCCACAGGCGGATGACGCTACACTCAGCTAATTTTTTTTTTTTTCCTAATTTTTCATAGATACTTCGCTTTGTTGCCCAGGCTGGTCTCGAACTCCTGAGCTCAAGCGATCATCCTGCTTCCTCCAACTCCCAGAGTTCTGGGATTACACGCGCGAGCCACGATGCCAACCAGGAGACCAGAAATTAAGCTCAGCTTTCTTTCTCTCCCTTCTTCCCTCCCTCCCTCCCTCCTTTCCTTCCTTCCTTCTTTTTTAAAACTTTGTGGTATCTGTTTGTGAATTGCTTATTTTACTTACCATATTGTCTTCAAAGTTCATCCATGTTATAGCCGGTGATGGGATTTCCTTCCTTTTTGAGATTGAATAGTATTCCATTGTATGCCTATGCCACATATGGTTTAATCATTCATCCATTGATGGACACTTGGGTTGCTTCTGACTGTTGGCTGTTGTGAGTAGTACTGCTATGAACACGGGTCTGCAAATATCTCTGAAACTCTGCCTTCTTTTTCTGTTTGTTTGTTTGTTTGTTTAAGGCAGTCTTACTCTGTTGCCCAGGCTTGAATGCAGTGGTGCCATTACAGCTCACTTTATTTTTTATTTTTTTGAGACAGTCTCACTCTTGTTGGCCAGGCTGCAGTGCAGTGGCGTGATTTCAACTCACACTGCAAACTCCACTTCCCGGGTTCAAGCTATTCTCCTGCCTCAGCCTCCTGAGTAACTGGGATTACAGGCATCTGCCACCACACCCAGCTAATTTTGTGTTTTTAGTAGAGACAGGGTTTCTCCGTGGTGGTCAGGCTGGTCTTGAACTCCCGAACTCAGGTGATCCACCTGCCTCGGCCTCCCAAAGTGCTGTGATTACAGGTGTGAGCCACCACGCCCAGCCTGCCCAGCTAATTTTTGTATTTTTAGTAGAGACAGGGTTTTGCCATGTTGGCCAGGCTGGTCTCGAATTCCTGACCTCAGATGATCTGCCTGCCTTGGACTCCCAATGTGCTGGGATTATTGGCGTGAGCCACCGCGCCTGGTGGAGTGGTGGAGTCTTTTTTTTTTTTTTGAGGTGGAGTCTCTGTGGCCCAGGCTGGAGTGCAGTGGCGCCATCTCGGGTCACTGCATCCTCCGCCTCCCAGGTTCAAGCGATTCTCCTCCCTCAGCCTCCTGAGTAGCTGCGGCTACAGGTGTGCGCCACCACACTCGGCTAATTTTTTGTATTTTAGTAGAAACGGAGTTTCATCATGTTTCCCTGGCTGGTCTCCTGAGCTCAGGCAGTCTACCAGCCTCCCAACGTGCTAGGATTACAGGCGTGAGCCACCCCACCCTGCCCAACGACTCACTTAGCTTCAACCTGTCAGACTCAGGCTTCTCCTACCTTAGCCTTCTTAGTATCTGGGACAACAGGTGTGTGCTACCATACCTGGCTAAATTTTTCTTTTTTTGATTTTTTGTAGAGACAGGATAATTTTTTTTTTTTTTTGTATAGACAGGGTCAGGCTATGTTTATGTTGGCCAGGCTGGGAAATAAGGTCTTAATAGAGGAAGTTGAAGATTCCTGGGGGAATAGCATGTAGAGCAGCTATAGAGGGAGAGGGTGCTGATTACTAGCTAAAAGACTTAGAAATTTTTGCAAACATGGACTCATGATAGTTTTTGGGTGATGAGTCTTCTTGTAGGATAGCTTGAAAGAGGAGGAGGAAACTAGAGGCCCTGGTAATATAAGGTAACATTAAGTATCCTGATGTCAGTAATGGAGAAGAGTGAAAGACTATGATTGATTGGGTGACTGTGTGGGCAGAGGATGTGAGGAGAAAAGGACATCTTGTGTGTGTGTGCGCACACATTTTTAGTTGTGTATCTTCTACTTGTTTTCTCCCCCACCTTGTACCTGTACTTTCTCAAGCCCAAAAATGAAAATTTACCTGCTACCAACCACATCATCTTGTGCATCTGTGTAGCTCAGTTTTTATTTCTTTAGATCTGTGGTCCTCCGTGGAAAGAGAGCCACTACCCCAAGACACATCTAATATAATACACAGGGCGCTTACGTGGTTAGAAAAGAAGAGATAAGCCGGGTGCGGTGGCTCACTCCTGTAATCCCAGCACTTTGGAAGGCCGAGGCGGGCAGATCACGACGTCAAGAGATTGAGACTATCCTGGCCAACACGGTGAAACCCTGTCTCTATTAAAAATAACAAAAATTAGCTGGATGTGGTGGTGCACACCTGTCATCCCACCTACTTGGGAGGCTGAGGTAGGAGAATCACTTGAACCCAGGAGGCGGAGGTTGCAGTGAGCCAAGATAGTGCCAATGCATCCCAGCCTGGCGATAGAGCAAGACTCATCTCAGGAAAAAAAAAAAAAAGGAGCTTGTTTTGGCCAGGTGCAGTGGCTCACGCCTGTAATCCCAGCACTTTGGGAGGCTGAGGCAGGTGGATCACCTGAGGTCAGGAGTTCGAGACCAGCCTGGCCAACATGGCGAAACCCTGTCTATACTAAAAGTACAAAAATTAGCCGGGCATGGTGGTGGGTGCCTGTAATCACAGCTACTCAAGAGGCTGAGGTGGGAGAATTACTTGAACCTGGGAGGCGGCGGTTGCAGTGAGCTGAGATGGTGCCACTGCACTCCAGCCTGGGCGACAGAGGGAGAATCCATCACAAAATAAATAAATAAAATATATAAATTTTAAAAAGTAGCTTGTTCTTAGTTTAATATTCTTTTTGAGTTCTAAAACGCTAATTTGAAAACATGTCTATTGATGATATTTGAGCAACCGTATCCATATTAAGCCTTAATATGAGAGGAATTATCTTCTGTGTTAATTTTTTTTTTTGAGACGAACTCTTGCTCTGTCACGCAGGCTAGAGTGTAGTGGCGTGCTCACTGCAACCTCCACCTCCTGGGTTCAAGCAGTTCTCCTGACTCAGCCTCCCAAGTAGCTGAGACTACAGGCGCCCGCTATCGCTCCCAGCTAATTTTTGTATTTTTAGTAGAGAAGAGTTTCGCCATGTTGGCCAGGCTGGTTGTGAACTCCTGACCTAGTGAGCCACCTGCCTCGGCCTCCCAAAGTGCTGGGATTACAGGCGTGAGCCACGGCGCCCGGCCATCTCTGTTATTTCATTGTAATGTTTTAACGGGTACCCCCTGTAAATTAGTGTATGAAAGGGCTTTTGTCTGTTGTAAAGCACTTTACAAATGCAAAAGTTTGTTGGAAATTGTATTTGAATGCCCCACATCTGTGTAACCAATCCTCTCTATATGAGGATGTTGTGTATGTTTCAGTTTTATTTTGAAATTTTCCAGAAATGGAATCTTTTAACTGATTTTAGGGAAACCCTTTAATCTCTCTAGGCTGCCTTTCTTTATCTATGAAATGAAATAGTAAGTTCTTTTTAGCTCTGCGATTTAAAAGCTTTAATTTTAAATGAGAGAGTGGTTAGTGATCTTCATGAAGTTTGATAGGTGGCAATACATTTAACTGATTTTGCTCTTTATGTGTAGATCATGGAAGGGAAGTGGTTGCTGTGTATGTTACTGGTGCTTGGAACTGCTATTGTTGAGGCTCATGATGGACATGATGATGATGTGATTGATATTGAGGATGACCTTGACGATGTCATTGAAGAGGTAGAAGACTCAAAACCAGATACCACTGCTCCTCCTTCATCTCCCAAGGTTTGAAATGGTCTTTGAATCTATTCCTTTTACGTCTTGAGATGATAAAATTATGAAGATACCCGGGTGCAGGGAAATGTAGTCTCAACTACTCAGGAGGCCTAGGACAGGAGTGTGAGTCCAGCCTTGGCAACACAGGGAGATATCATCTCTAATAAAATATAAAAGAAAAACATGGTGAAGATAAATTTGGAACGTTTTCAAAGGGAAAGCAAAATTCGTGAAAATACTTATTGATCTCTCTGGCAGCCTTTGTCTTGCTAGAGGCCAATTATATGGGTTGAATTTGAAGGCCAGCTATGAAATTTTTGTGACAGTTGAAAGCAAACCAGGAGAATAGATTCTAGATAAAAAGGCATGTTGCTGAAAATTTAAATTTTTAATTCATTTATGTATTTAACACAGGTTACTTACAAAGCTCCAGTTCCAACAGGGGAAGTATATTTTGCTGATTCTTTTGACAGAGGAACTCTGTCAGGGTAAGTGTTTTCCAGAGAAATATATGTTAGAGGCAGACATGTAAATAAGATGGGATAGTAGATTCCTTTTTGGATAGCATCTTTTATAGTGAAATGTCTAACTTTATTTTATTTTATTTATTTATTTTTTGAGACAGAATTTCGCTCTTTTGCCTGGGCTGGAGTGCAATGGCGTGATACCGGCTCATTGCCACCTCCGTCTCCTGGGTTCAAGTGATTCTCCTGCCTCAGCTTCCCAAGTAGCTGGGATTATAGGCATGCGCCACCATGCTGGCTAATTTGTGTGTGTGTGTTGTTATTTTTTTAGTAGAGATGGGGTTTTGACATGTTGGCCAGGCTGGTCTTGAACTCCTGACCTCAGGTGGTCCACTTGCCTTAGCCTCCCAAATTGTTGGCATTACAGGCATGAGCCACCGCACCTGGCCTGAAATTTCTAGCTTTAATATCTTCAGTGTTAACATCCATGCAGGAAAATAGTCTTTTGGAATTTGTGGTTTTTACTTCCACTTCTTTCCCTCCCCCACTCTACCCTATATTTTGTTCTTTGATTGAGGAAAAAAATTTTCTCTTGATGTTAAAACATCAGTGGAATTATCTCATAGGTTTGGTACTTTTTCATATAGGTTTGTGAGTTGAAGATAATGTATTATCATTAGTTGTGTGACAGATTTAAAGGTTGGAAGTAGAGTGGTTAAATAGGCTAAGAGCAGAATAGGTCCTACTTTAATGAGTATTTACATAATTTTCCCTCACAAGTCAACTGTCATTTTAAGACTGATTTTGGGATTTGTTATTTACAGGTGGATTTTATCCAAAGCCAAGAAAGACGATACCGATGATGAAATTGCCAAATATGATGGTGAGAATCCCATTTGGTTTAGATATAATAGCAGATAGAGGTTTGACATGTTGTCTCCATGGCATTTCCTAAGACTAGTTTAAAAGGACATAGTAGGCTTTAAGATTTTTCCAGCCAGGTGCGGTGGCTCACGCCTGTAATCCCAGCACTTTCGGAAGCCAAGGCGGGCAGATCACGAGGTCAGGAGATCGAGACCATCCTGGCTAACACAGTGAAACCCCGTCTCTACTGAAAATACAAAAAATTAGCTGGGCGTGGCAGCGTGCATCTGTAGTCCCAGCTGCTGGGGAGGCTGAGGCAGGAGAATGGTGTGAACCCGGGAGGCCAAGCTTGCAGTGAGCCGAGAACGCGCCACTGCACTCCAGCCTGGGTGACAGAGCGAGACTCCGTCTCAAAAAAAAAAAAAAAAAAAAGATTTTTCCATGGAAGTTTTGCCACCTTTGTGTGTTGCCTAATTTTTTTTTTTTTTTTTTTTTTATTTAAGGTTCAGGGGTGCATGTGTAGCCTTATATTTAATAGGATTAGATCTGTTTAATCACCTGTGCTACTGAATGTTGGAAATTTCTAGACAGTAGTATAATACACTACAGTTTTAAAAAGCCATATCTGAATAATATTTGCCAAATAAAGTGTGTTTATTTATTATTTATTTACTTTTTTGAGACGGAGTCTCATTCTTGCCACCCAGGCTTCTGGAATAGAGTGGCGTGATCTTGGCTCACCGCAACCTCTGTTTCTTGGGTTCAAGCGATTCTCCTGCCTCAGCCTACCGAGTAGTTGGGATTACAGGTGCCCATCACCACGCCCGGCTAATTTTTGTGTTTTTATTAGAGATGGGGTTTCACCATGTTGGCCAGGCTGGTCTCGAACTCCTGACCTTGAGTGATCCGCCTGCCCTCAGCCTCCCTAAGTGCTGGGATTATAGGTGTGAGCGACCACGGCTGCCCCAGTATAATATATTTATGCAACTAGGAGGTGTTTTTTTTGGCATTTAAAGGACCTTCAGAGGTAGAGTTAAGCAGTGGAACTTTTTTGTGTTGTCTTGTAGGAAAGTGGGAGGTAGAGGAAATGAAGGAGTCAAAGCTTCCAGGTGATAAAGGACTTGTGTTGATGTCTCGGGCCAAGCATCATGCCATCTCTGCTAAACTGAACAAGCCCTTCCTGTTTGACACCAAGCCTCTCATTGTTCAGTAAGTGAAATGCTTGTTGGATAAAAGCTTTCTGCAAAGGGTAATCTTAGAAGACATTATGTAACTTTTACTCTATGTTAAAAAATTATGAGATTATATAAGTGGTGGTAGGGATTTTTGGGTGAATTTAAACACCTTGTAATTAATAGTTTTTCCTGGCTAATGCATTATTTTGAAAGAAACTGGTTACTTATTTTCCTGACTCTAAATAACTTGTAGATTTTGCAGAACAAATTTACCGGAAATCTGCATTAATAGTTTTTGTAATTAATTAATTACAAAACTAGTAATTAATAGTTTTTCCTGCCTAATGCATTATTTTGAAAGAAACTGGTTACTCATTTTCCTGACTCTAAATAACTTGTAGATTTTGCAGAACAAATTTACTGGAAATCTGCATTAATGTTCAATTTAATTTTATTTATTTTTGTGGCATTTGATAACTATTCAAAAACAATAGAAGATGGAATCCTTTGTAAGGGTAAACATTTGACCTATGATAAAACGTGACTAAGATGAGGGAGAGAGGAAATACATTAAGAGAGTTTCGATCTTTCAAAATGCCATACAGTTTTCTGCTTTTCTCTCTGATATTAGGTATGAGGTTAATTTCCAAAATGGAATAGAATGTGGTGGTGCCTATGTGAAACTGCTTTCTAAAACACCAGAACTCAACCTGGTATGTAATTCCCATTTCTGGAATGTGGCTGGACACCCACTATTACCTTGTAAGAATTTTGTAATTGGGCCGGGTGCAGTGGCTCACGCCTGTAATCCTAGCTCCCAGCACTTTGGGAAGCCAAGGCAGGCGGATCACGAGGTCAGGAGATTGAGACTATCTGGCTAACATGGTGAAACCCCATCTCTACTAAAAATACAAAAAATTAGCCAGGCGTGGTGGCAGGCGCCTGTAGTCCCAGCCACTTGGGAGGCTGAGGCAGGAGAATGGCATGAACCTGGGAGGCGGAACTTGCAGTGAGCCGAGATTGCGCCACTGCACTCCAGCCTGGGCGACAGAGCGAGACTCCATCTCAAAAAAAAAAAAAAGAGAATTTTGTAATAATTGTGAAAATAAAGGCTTCCTCCCCTGCTGTTTAACTCTTTTGATGAGTTGGGAAAATTGACTTTGACGCTAACGTGCTTTTTATTTGAAGTGTAAATTACAAAGTTGTTACCAACTGTTTTTATCTGAATTTCTGGTTTTGCTTCTGTGTAAGTTTTAGTTTTGGCAAGCTTATTTCTTTGTTTTATGAGGAAGCAATAACTGTCTAGATGTGTGCATTACTTTTTTTTAGACACTTAAACGTTATTTTAAATTTACTGATGATTGCTGGTTATTCCTTTTTACTAAACAAACTTGTAGTTAGCTTTTCCTTTAACTGTCACTAATATATTTGGAATTTTATAAGAGGAATTATCATACACTTTTGAAACGTTGCTTTTGAACACTTTGAGTACAGTGACTTCAAATAATCCTTTTTTGTTTTTGAAGGATCAGTTCCATGACAAGACCCCTTATACGATTATGTTTGGTCCAGATAAATGTGGAGAGGACTATAAACTGCACTTCATCTTCCGACACAAAAACCCCAAAACGGGTATCTATGAAGAAAAACATGCTAAGAGGCCAGATGCAGATCTGAAGACCTATTTTACTGATAAGAAAACACATCTTTACACACTAAGTAAGAAAAAGCATTAGTTTGGGGGCTTATGGTATTACATATATATCATCCATTTAATTTAAAGATTGTATATCTGGCCGGGCACTGTGGCTCACGCCTGTAATCCCAGCACTTTGGGAGGCCGAGATGGGCAGATCACCTGAGATCAGGAATTCGAGAACAGTCTGGCCAAAATGTTGAAACTTCACCTCTACTAAAAATACAAATATTAGCTAGGCATGGTGGTGCACGCCTGTAACCGAAGCTAGTTGGGAGGCTGAGGCAGGAGAATTGCTTGAACCTGGGAGGGAGCCAAGATCATTGTGCCACAGCATTCCAGCCTGGGCGAAAGTGAGACTCAATCTCAAAAAAAAAAAAAAAGGCTGGGCGCGGTGGCTCACACCTGTAATCCCAGCACTTTGGGAGGCCGAGGCGGGTGGATCACAAGGTCAGGAGATCGAGACCATCCTGGCTAACATGGTGAAACCCCGTCTCTACTAAAAATACAAAAATATTAGCCGGGCGTGGTGGTGGGCACCTGTAGTCGCAGCTACTTGGGAGGCTGAGGCAGGAGAATGGCACGAACCCGGGAGGCAGAGCTTGCAGTGAGCCGAGATCGCGCCACTGCACTCCAGCCTAGGAGACAGAGCAAGACTCCATCTCAAAAAAAAAAAAAAAAGATTGTATATCTGGAGAGTACCCCAGCCTCCAAACAAGAAGAATCTCAGCCTGGTATGGTTGCTCATGCGTGTAATCCCAGCACTTTGGGAGGCTGAGGCGGGCGGATCACTTGAGATCAGGCATTCGAGACTAGCATGGCCAACATGGTAAAACCCCGTCTCTACTAAAAATACAAAAATTAGCTGGGCGTGGTGTTGAGTAGCTGGTGTAATCCTAGCTACTCGGGAGGCTGAGGCAGCAGAATTACGTTAACCCAGGAGGCAGAGGTTGCAGTTGAGTCAAGATTGTATCACTGCACTCCAGCCTGGGTGGCAGAGGAAGATTCTGTACCCCCTCCACGAAAGAAAAGAATCTCTTCACTTTAGTATCTTAGTTGGGAAATGACCTTAATTTGTCAGCATTAAAAGAAGCTTCTTGGCCACGTATGGTGGCCCACACCTGTAATCCTAACACTTCGGGAGGCTGAATCGGATGGATTGCTTGAGTCCAGGAGTTCCAAACCAGCCTGACAACATAGTCAGACCCTGTCTCTACAAAATCTTAAGAATTAACTGAGTATAGTGGCATGTGCCTGTAGTTTCAGCTACTCAGGAGGCTGAGGTATGAGGATTGCTTGAGCCCAGGAAGTCGAGACTGTAGTGAGCCATGATCTTGCCACTGCACTGTAGCCTGGGTGACAAAGTGAGATGCTGTCTCAAAAAACAAAACAAAAAACCCAAAAAACTTCTTTTCCACAGGAACTGAGGTTCGAGATAATTTTAAGAATAGAATAGGTGTTTTTGGCCAGGCATGGTGGCTCGTGCCTATAATCCCAGCACTTTGGGTGGCCGAGGTGGGCGGATCACCTGAGGTCAGGAGTTTAAGACCAGCCTGGCCAACATGGTGAAGCCCCATCTCTACTAAAAATACAAAAATTAGCCGGGCATGGTGGAGGGTGCCTGTAATCCCAGCTACTCAGGAGGCTGAGGCAGGAGAATTGCTTGAACCCTGGAAGCGGAGGTTGCAGTGAGCCAGATTGTGACACTGCACTCCAGCCTGGGCGACAGGAAGACTCTGTCTCAAAAAAAAAAAAAAAAAAATTGGTATTTTTTGCTGGACATGGTGGCTCATGCCTGTAATCCCAGCACGATGGGAGGCTGAGGCGAGCAGATCACTTGAGGTCAGGTGTTCAAGACCAGCCTGGCCAACATGGTGAAACGTCATCTCTACTGAAAATACAAAAATTAGCCGGGTGGGGTGGTGGGCGCCTATAATCTCAGATACTCAGGAGGCTGAGGCAGGAGAATCACTTGAACCCGGGAGGCGGAGGTCACGGTGAGCCAAGGTCATGCCATTGCACTCCAGCCTGGGCAACACAGTGAGACTCCGTCCCCCACTCCAAAAAAAAAGGTGTTTTTTTTTTTTTTTTCTACAAAGAGCTTTGCTGATCTAATTTCTTCCTTTTTTTTGTTGTTGTTGTTGAGAAATGTTGAATAATAGAATAAGTTATATTTATAATTATACATAAATCCAATAAAAATAGTTTTTCAGAAGTATCTTGTAGTTGAACTTATTTGGATGCTCCAATACCTGGACAATTGACAATTGAGTTGAATCATTTTGATACAGGGTTTTTTTTGGTTTGTTTGTTTATTGAAGCTTTTCCTGCTAGTTTGAGATCATAAATAGGCATGCCTCTTTCTGAAGAATATAATAACCTTTTTTTTTTTTGAGATGGAGTTTCACTCTTGTTCCCCAGGCTGGAGTGCAATTGTGTGATCTTGGCTCACCACAACCTCTGCCTCTTGCATTCAAGCGATTCTCCTGCCTTGGCCTCCCAAGTAGCTGGGATTACAGGCATGTGCCACCACGCCTGGCTAATTTTTTTTTTTTTTTTTTTAGTAGAGATGGGTTTTCTCCATGTTGGTCAGGCTGGTCTCAAACTCCCGACGTCAGGTGATCTGCCCGCCTCAGCCTCCCAAACTGCTGGGTTATAGGCGTGAGCCACCGCGCCTGGACTACCTTTTTAATTTTTTTGAGGCGGAGTATTGCTCTGTCACCCAGGTGGGCGTGCAGTGGCGTGATCTTGGCCTACTGTGACGTCTGCCTCCCGGGTTCAAGCGATTCTCTTGCCACAGCCTCCTGAGTAGCTGGGATTACAGGCTTGTGCCACCATGCCCAGCTAATTTTTCTTTTTTTTATTATTATTATTTTTTTTTTTTTCCAGCTAATTTTTCTGTTTTTAGTAGAGACCGGGTTTCACCATGTTGGCCAGGCTGGTCTCGAACTCCTGACCTCAAGTGATCTGCCCGCCTCAGCTCCTGAAAGTGCTGGGATTACAGGTGTGAGTCACTGTACCCAGCCTAGAATATAACAACCTTTTTTTCTTTTTTTTGTGACGGAGTCTTGCTTTGTCATCCAGGCTGGAGTGCAGTGGCGCCATCTTGGCTCACTGCAGCCTCCGCTTCCCAGGTTCCAGTGATTCTCCCGTCTCAGCCTCCCCAGTAGCTGGGATTACAGGCACACACCACCATGTCCAACTAATTTTTGTATTTTTAGTAGAGCCTTGTTGGCCAGGCTGATCTCAAACTCTTGGCCATCTGTTGATCCGCCCACCTCGGCCTCCCAAAGTGCTAGGATTACAGGCGTGAGCCACTGAGCCCAGCTTAACCTTTTTTTGTTATTTCCAAAAGTAATACATATTTAAGGTATAGAAATTCAGAAGCCATAAGTAAGCAAAAAGAAAACACTTAAAGCGAGGGAGAGGGGTTGAAGACAAGTTGGTTAATTGGTACAGAAATAAGGTAGAAGGAATAAATTCTAATATTTGATAGTACAGTAGGGAAATTATAGTTAGAACAATTTATGGTGTATTTCAGAAGAGCTGGAAGAGAATTGTACTGTTCCCAATACAAAGAAAAAGTAAATGGAGCCAGGTGCAGTGGCTCAGGCCTATAATCCCTGCGCTTTTGGGAGGCTGAGGTGGGAGGATCACTTGAGGCCAGGAGTTCTAGACCAGCCCGGGCAGCATAGTGAGACCTTGTTCCTACAAAAAAATAATTATTCAGGCTTGGTAGCATGTACCTCTAGTCCCAGGTGCTCGGGAGGCTGTGGTATAAAAGGATCCCTTGAGTCCAGGATTCGAGATTGCAGTGAGCTATGATTGGGCCACTGCACTCCAGCGTGGGTCACAGAATGAGACTCTGTCTCTATAAAATAGAAAGAAAAGGTAAATGTTTAAGGTTACAGATATTTCAATTACTGTGATTTGTTTGTTTTGTTTTGTTTTGTTTTGTTCTTTTTGTTTTTTTGAGATGGGAGTCTCTCTCTGTTGCCCAGGCTGGAGTGCAGTGGCCTGATCTCAGCTCACTGCAACTTCTGCCTCCCGGGTTCAAGCGATTCTCCTGCCTCAGCCTCCTGAATAGTTGGGACTATAGGCATGCGCCACCATGCCCGGCCAATTTTTTTGTATGTTTAGTAGAGTTGGGGTTTCACCATGTTGGTCAGGCTGGTCTCGAACTCCCAACCTCAAATGATGGGCCTGCCTCAGCCTCCCAGAGTGCTGGGATTATAGGCATGAGCCACTGGGCCCGTCCAATGACTGTGATTTGGTCATTACACATTATATACATGTATCAAAATATCACACGTACCCCGAAAATATGTACAAGTACGATATGTCAATAAAAACATACACAAAGAAGTCACTTAAAATTATCTTAAACATCAGCATTGTGATATATATTTGTCAATATGTGTATATACACATATACAACTTTACATGCTATATCTAACTTTTTTATTTTTTTATTTATTTTTATTTTTTTTTTTGAGACGGAGTCTCGCTCTGTCTCCCAGACTGGAGTGCAGTGGTGCGATCTCCGCTCAGTGCAAACTCCGCCTCCCGGGTTCACGCCATTCTCCTGCCTCAGCCTCCCGAGTAGCTGGGACTACAGGTGCCCACCACCACGCTGGGCTAATTTTTTGTATTTTTGGTAGAGACGGGGTTTCACCGTGTTAGCCAGGATGGTCTCGATCTCCTGACCTCGTGATTCGCCCGTCTCGGCCTCCCAAAGTGCTGGGATTACAGGCGTGAGCCACTGCGCCCGGCCCTTTTTTATTTGAGACAGAAACACTGCAATCTCCACCTCCCAGGTTCAAGCGATTCTTGTGCCTTAGCCTCCCAAGTAGTTGGGTTTACAGGTGTGCACCAACATGCCCACCTAGTTTTTGTATTTTTAGTAGAGACAGGGTTTCACCATGTTGGCCAGGCTGGTCTCGAACTCCTGGCCTCAAGTGATCCACCTGCGTTAGCCTCCCAAAGTGCTGGGATTACAGGCATGAGCCACCACACCCGTTTCTTAACAACAAAAGAGTGTGAAGTTCTTCCTCACAGAAATATTCATTTTCATTATCACTGACACAGCAGCATAGGATTCCTTGTTTGGATGTGCTGTAACTCAGTCTCCTGTGTATTAGATATCTAGGTGTGGAATCTGGGCTTTAATATACATCACACTTAAGATGCTTTTATGGGGCCCATGTGGCTGGGCACGGTGGCTCACACCTGTAGTCTTAACACCTTGGGAGGCTGAGGTTGGGCAGATTGCCTGAGCTCAGGAGTTTGAGACCAGCCTGGGCAACATTGCAAAACCCCATCTCTACTTAAAATACAAAAAATTAGCTGGGCATGGTGGCACGGGGCCGTCTGTAGTTCCAGCTACTGCGGAGGCTGAGGCAGGAGAATCGCTTGAACCTGGGAGGCGGGCGTTGCAGTTAGCCGAGATCACACCACTGCACTCCAGCCTGGGAGACAAAGCGAGACTCTGTCTCAAAAAAATAAAATAAAATTTTAAAAAATGCTTTTATGGATTTAAAATTGTTTTTTCATTCTCCATGGGAGTTAAAAAGTAGAAAGTAGAATCATGAGTGGACATGCGTTTTAATAAATTGGAGGTTTGTGTAATTTCAGTAACGTAATAATACCAGCTCTATTAAAAATGAAGAAATGGACCTTTTGTACTGGGAAGTAGTTGTAAGTCCACGTATTTGTCTTCTCACTGGTGTATATGTGTAAGCCCAATAATTGTGTTAGTTTATGTAGTTTCTTGTTTTTTTTGTTTTTTTTTTTTAGTGTCTATAAGTCAAGTCTTTGGTGTTAAAGATTTTAACTATCATTTGCTGTAATTCTTAGAAAGCCGAGGGACTAATCATTTATGTTTCGTGCATAAGGAAATGGGCGTTAGCTTCCCCAAGACCCCAGGAGCCAGGCATTGTTCTTACCCCAAAGCCTCAGGTCAGACTTCTGCTGCTTCACGTTAGAAGTCATGATCTTTTGTATTATGGTAAAGGGAGCTTGGAAAATTAAGTACTTTTAATTCCATTTAATGTTTCTTTCAGTCTTGAATCCAGATAATAGTTTTGAAATACTGGTTGACCAATCTGTGGTGAATAGTGGAAATCTGCTCAATGACATGACTCCTCCTGTAAATCCTTCACGTGAAATTGAGGACCCAGAAGACCGGAAGCCCGAGGATTGGGATGAAAGACCAAAAATCCCAGATCCAGAAGCTGTCAAGCCAGATGACTGGTGAGTCTTGGGGAACTGTCTTCAAGTGTAAGGGAGCATTTCATATATTCCATGTGGCTTGAACAACGAAATGTTGGTTGAGTAAGCTCTGATAATTTCAGTAATCCATGATGCAGTCTAATCTGTAGGGAAAATATAGAGTACTATAGCTGGAAAGGGGCCATAGTGTAATCATCTGGATTGACTCACCATTTTACAAGCCACAGAATGCCACACTTGATAAGAGTTTGTCTGTGGTGACACTGTTGGTTTGTGGCAGAATCTCAGGTCCTTTAACCTGGCTACTCCAGGGCTTCTGTGAACTCACATTTAAAGCCAAAGTTCTGAAATGCTAAATTTTAATTTGAAAAATAACCTTTTTCCTATTTAAACAACAGTCAATTCTCTGCTGTGGGTTGGGTGGTAGAATACAAAGCCACAAGGACACCACCATCTGCCTACACAGAGCTTGAAGTCCAGTTGTGAGGCATGATGTTGGCATGTGGTATCGTAAGGGTTCATGAGAAGGTGCCACAGGAGACCAGAGCACCAGGTGTACCTAAACTAGGCATGGTTTCTTGGAGCAAGGCAAATCAGATTGAGACTTGGCAGTGAGGTGAGAATTAAGGAGTTGGTGAATATGGGAAGGGGTGTTTCTGATTGAAGAATGTCGTATGCAGAAGTAGAGGAGCAGCAATGAGCTTGACATGCGAGGGAGAAATTACATGGCCTTTTATGTAGGGTGCACATTGAAGAGTGAGGAGAAATGAAGATAGCTGGGGCTGTATTCTTGTATATGGCTGTCTTTGAACTTGCAACTTCACACAGTGACTCCAGAAATGTCAGAAAGTGAACAAAGAAATTCTTACCCTTTGTAAAATATCCTCCTATGCTTAGCAATTACATTCTAGATTATCTTTTTCCTCCTTGAAAGGTAAGATACATATAACTGAACTTTTGTACTGCACTAGTATAAATGCCAAGTTTACTTGTATATTTGGTGTATATTAGATTTGGACTTAGCCTTGTTCAGTATTATATTCCTTAACTAGCTTTATCACCTAAGAAGGCCCCTGTACCCATTAAGCGGCCACTCCCTGTTTCCTCCCCCAACTCCCAGCAACCACTAACCTGCTTTCTGCCTCTCTACATTTGTCCACTTTGTATATTTCATATAAAATGGAATCATACAGTATGTGGCTTTCTCTGTCCAGTTTCTTTCATTTAGCACAGTGTTTTCCAGGTTTATCTGTGTTGAAGCATGTATCAGTACTGCATTCCTTTTTATGATTGAATAAATTCTACTGTTTTGATAATGCCACATTTTATTTATCCATCCTTTGGTGGACATTTAGGTTGTTTGCTCCTTTTTGTCTGTGATTATGAATAATGCTGCTATGAATGTTCATGTACTGGTTTTTACATAAATATGTTTTTTCTTTTCTTGCTTTTTTTTTTTTGAGATGGAGTGTAGCTCTGTCGCCCAGGCTGGAGTGCAGTGGCGCCATCACGGCTCACTGCAACCTCTGTCTCCCGAGTTCAAGTGATTCTCCCGCCCTAGCCTCCCAAGTAGCTGGGATCACAAGCGCATGCCACCACACCCAGCTAATTTTTGTATTTTTAGTAGACACGGGGTTTTACCATGTTGGTCAGGCTGATCTCGATCTCCTGACCTCAGGTGATCTACCCGCCTCAGCCTCCCAAAGTGCTGGGATTGCAGGCGTGAGCCACCACACCTGGCCTCTTTTCTTTAGACATGATCTCTGTGTTGCCCAGGTGGGAGTACAGTGGTACGGTCACGGCTCACTGCAGCTTCCACTTTCTGGGGTCAAGCGATCCTCTCCCGCCTTAGCTTCTCAAGTAGCTGGGACTGCAGGTATGCACGCCTGGCTAATTTTTATGGGTTTTTTGTTTGTTTGTTGAGACAGAGTCTCGTTTTGTCACCCAGGCTGGAGTGCAGTGGCACGATCTCGTCTCATTGCAACCTCTGCCTCCCGGGTTCAAACGATTCTCGTGCCTCAGCATCCCAAGTAGCTGGGACTACAAGCGTGCACCACTGCACTCGTGCCTCACCCTCCAAGTAGCTGGGACTACAAGCGCGCACTACTACAAAAAATTCTTGTATTTTTAGTAGAGATGGGATTTCACCATGTTGGCCAGGATGGTCTCAAAATTCTGATGTCAAGTGATCTACCAGCCTCAGCCTCCCAAAGTGCTGGGATTACAGGCGTGTGCCACCGTGCCTGGCTGTGCATGTTTTTTCTTTTTTTTTGAGACGGAGCTTCGCTCTTGTCGCCCAGGCTGGAGTGTAGTGGCGTGATCTTGGCTCACCACAACCTCTGCCTCCCGGTTTCAAGTGATTCTCCTGCCTCAGCCTCCTGAGTAGCTGGGATTACAGGCATGTGCCACCACGCCCAGCTAATTTTGTATTTTTAGTAGAGATGGGGTTTCTCCATGTTGGTCAGGCTGGTCTCAAACTCCCGACCTCAGGTGATCTGCCCACCTTGGCCTCCCAAAGTGCTAGGATTACAGGCATGAGCCACTACACCTGGCTTAATTTTTGTATTTTTTGGTAGAGACAGGGTGTCGTCATATTGGTCAGGCCGGTCTTGAACTCCTGTCCTCAGGTGATCCACCCGCCTTGGCCTCCCAAAGTGCTGGGATTACAGGTGTGAGCCACCGCACCTGGCCTTGTGTATTTTTTTTTTTTTACTAGAGACTGGGTTTCACCTTGTTGCCCAGGCTGGTGTGGCCTCAAGTGATCCTCCTGCCTTGGCCTCCCAAAGTGCTGAGATTACAGGCATGAGCCACTCTGTCTAGCTATAGATATATATTTTCATTTCTCTTGGGTATATATACCTAAAAGTGGAATTGCTGGGTCATGTGGTAACTAACTTTTTGAGAAACTGCCAAACTGTTTTCCAAATGAGCAGTACCATTTTACTTTCCCACCAGCAGTGTATGAGGGTTTCAGTTTCTCTGCGTTCTTTCCAGCATTTGTTTTTATGAGTCTTTTTTATTAGAGCCAACTTGGTACTAAGTGGTATCGTTTTGATTTGCCATTTCCCTGATGGCTAATGATGTTAAGCATCTTTTCGTGTGCTTATTGTATGTTCATATTGTATATTTTTACATTCGTATGTCTTCTTTGGAGAAATGTCTATTAAAATCATTTGCCCATTTTTAAATTGGGTTGTCTTTATATTATTGAGTTGTAAAGAGTTATTTTACTAGGCCCTTAGCAGATATATGATTTACAAGTATTTTCTAAGAGGAATTATTTTAAATTTTGAGATTAAAAACAAATTTTTTTAGAATACTCTGTTCTGATCCACAAAGTGGTACTATACTGTGACCAGTGTTGTCATAACTGGCTTTTTCTTTTGTATTTAAGGGATGAAGATGCCCCTGCTAAGATTCCAGATGAAGAGGCCACAAAACCCGAAGGCTGGTTAGATGATGAGCCTGAGTACGTACCTGATCCAGACGCAGAGAAACCTGAGGATTGGTAAGAACTTCAGTTAACTTTTTTTAATTACCTGGTTTTTTTGTTTGTTTTTTTTTTTGAGATGGAGTCTCACTCTGTCTCCCAGGCTGGAGTTCAGTGGCGCAGTTTCGGCTCACTGCAACTTTCACCTCCTGGGTTCAAGTGATTCTCCTCCATCAGCCTTGCGAGTAGCTGGGATTACAGGTGTGTGCCACCACACCCGGCAAATTTTTGTATTTTTTGTATTTTTAGTAGAGACGGACTTTCACCGTGTTGGCCAGGCTGGTCTCAAAGTCCTGACCTCAAGTGATCTGTCTGCCTTGGCCTCCCAAAGTGCTGGGATTACAGGCGTGAGCCACCACACCCAGCATAAGTTACCTGTTTTTATTGAAGTCAATCTTAATACTTAAATATAGCCAAGTTCCCTAATTTCAGGGTAGAATTTGACAATTTTAATTATATTTTCTTCTTTTTTAAAAAATAAATTTTTCCTGAAAAACTGTTATTACTGGAAATACAGGAGAAGCTGGTCTGGGATACTGTGAAAACATTTCAGCAGGATCTTGGCAGCCCTGGGCCAGCCAGCTGTTCATAGTCCTGCATCACAGAACCTGTTTATAATTTGTTGTTTGTACCTCCGTAGGGATGAAGACATGGATGGAGAATGGGAGGCTCCTCAGATTGCCAACCCTAGATGTGAGTCAGCTCCTGGATGTGGTGTCTGGCAGCGACCTGTGATTGACAACCCCAATTATAAAGGCAAATGGAAGCCTCCTATGATTGACAATCCCAGTTACCAGGTTTGTGCCTCTTGATGGTTGAGTTGCTTTCATTAATCTGTTTGTATTCAGATAGAAGTTTTATCTAGAGTAAGGCTGCCAGGTTGGTCATTATATTCAAGCTGTTGAATTAAAAGCAGAAAGTAGACTTCCTAAGTTGAAAGAGAGCTTAATGGGTTAGGTATTGCAAAGATAAACCTAGAAACTGGAGTGAATAACTTTCTTTAACTTTATTTATTTATTTATTTATTTATTTATTTTTGAGATGGAGTTTCGCTCTTCTACCCAGGCTGGAGGGCAGTGGTGTGATGTCGCCTCACTGCAACCTCTGCCTTCCGGTTTCAAGCGATTCTCTTGCCTCAGACTCCCGAGTAGCTGGGATTACAGGTGCCTGCCACCACGCCTGGCTAATTTTTATATTTTTAGCAGAGATGGTGTTTCACCATGTTGGCCAGGCTGGTCTCGAACTCCTGACCTCGCGATCCGCCCACCTCAACCTCCTAAAGTGCTGGGATTACAGGCGTGAGCCACTGCATCTGGTCAACTTTCTTTTTTTGAGACTGAGTCTCACTCTAGTGGCCAGGCTGGAGTGCAATGGCTCAGTCTCGGCACACTGCCACCTCCACCTCCTGGGTTCAAGCAATTCTCCTGACTCAGCCTCCCGAGTAGCTGGGAGCACAGGTGTGCTCACAGGTGTGCTCACCTCACCTGGCTGATTTTTTGTATTTTTAGTAGAGACGGGGCTTCGCCATGTTGGCCAGGCTGGTCTCGAACTCCTGACCTCAGGTGATCCACCTGCCTTCGCCTTTCGAAGTCCTGGGGTTTCAGGCGGGAGCCACTGTGCCCAGCCAAGAATAACTTTCATAGTTGCTTTGTAACTATATTTAAAAACAAAAGAGAAATGGAAAACTGTTGATTTGGGTACCCTGCTCTTGGGTGCTAGGGTTGCTTCAGCCATAGGATCCACAGCTGAGTCTGGACAATCTGTGATGTGGTGGGTAGAGGACTGTGGTTTGAGTCAGCATCTTGACTACATCAAGTCAGCTCACTGCTTGGCCTCAATGCTTGCAACTATAAAAAGACTGAGGCCCAAAAGAGATGGTAAGGATACAAGTAGTAAGGTTGTGAGGCTTTAGGCCTCATGCAAAAATGTACACCCTCAGACCTTTGTTCCTTTTATCTTTCTAGCCAAGTAAAATTATTTATAATCTCTACAAAGAGTGGCAATTAAAATTATTTATAATCATTAATTTCTACTTTATTTATATACAAATACTAATATATGTATATACATATACAGAAACAGGAGAAGCTGGTCTGATACTGTGAAAACATTTCAGCAGGATCTTGGCATAGTATATGTATATATACATATACTAATATATGTTTTTCTGTTTGTAAATTTTTTATTTTTTTCCTCATAGTCGTTAAAGATGTTATGTGAATGTATTTTTAATTGTGTAGTCAAACAATAAGATAAAAGTTTTACTTTAAAAAAGTTGCCCTTTAGGCTGGGCGTAGTGGCTCACGCCTATAATCCCAGCACTTGAGAGGCTGAGGTGGGTGGATCACCTGAGGTCAGCCATTCGAGACCAGCCTGGCCAACATAGTGAAACACCATCTCTACTAAAAGCACAAAAATTGGCCTGGTATGGTGGCACACACCTGTAGTCCCAGCTGCTTAGGCACGAGGCTGAGGCACAAGGATCACTTGAACACAGGAGGCAGAAGTTACAGTGAAAAAGAAGTTGCCCTTTAGTTGTTCTCCTGTTGGTGGCCATTTAGGTGGATTGTCACTTTTGCTTTCAGAGTCACTG
Source organism: Homo sapiens (assembly GCF_000001405.40). Lineage (NCBI taxonomy): Eukaryota > Metazoa > Chordata > Mammalia > Primates > Hominidae > Homo > Homo sapiens. Next base: position 179,722,357 of record NC_000005.10, read on the forward strand.
CTGCTGTAATAATCCTTGTACATGTCTGGGTGTATGTTGTGAGTATTTCTCTAGGTAGTTATCTAGAAGTGAATTGCTGGTTGATGATCATGTGCGTTTTATTTTAAATCACCACTGAAGAAGTACGTACTGACTTATGCTCCCACTCTCATTAGCAGTTGCTAAGAGTGGAGGCTGTTGAATGGGCCAGGAACTTGAGGGGTTGGTTTGGACCAAGGTCATGGGTGACAGTAGAAATTGGAAGTAGTTGGAATCCTGCAGTCTTAGAGGCAGAGTGCGTAAAATAATCTGTAGCATTTGTTATTTATTTTCCTGTTGCTTATTTCAAGTTTCATGAAGTTGGCATTTCTCTCCATTGTTCATGCAAAATTTCTCTTACGGTAGATTCACCATAAACTTTTGTTGATCATTATCTGAAATGATTTTCTGAAACATTTTTTTTTCTAGGGAATCTGGAAACCCAGGAAAATACCAAATCCAGATTTCTTTGAAGATCTGGAACCTTTCAGAATGACTCCTTTTAGTGCTATTGGTTTGGAGCTGTGGTCCATGACCTCTGACATTTTTTTTGACAACTTTATCATTTGTGCTGATCGAAGAATAGTTGATGATTGGGCCAATGATGGATGGGGCCTGAAGAAAGCTGCTGATGGGGCTGCTGAGGTTCGTGTTTGCTGCTTGTGCATTTGTGTCTGTTATTGTAAGGAGCTGTTATTTTGTGAAAGTCTGTGTTAAGGTTTTTTTTCTTCATTTGGCAATATTGGCATAAAAAGTATAACCATATGCCTGCAAAAGACACAATATTGGGTTTTGGGGCATGATTTCATTAGTCTAATGTAGTGGCTTTAGAGTCTGTTTGTGTTCAGGGTTTTTTTTTTATTATTTGTCTGGGTATATATTTCGAAATTTGTCATTTAGGCTATATTTTAATACACTCTTATATGTTGAATCTCGGTTTACACTACATACAGAATTTTCAAACAACTGGTCATGTGGCCGATTTAAGAATTGGAGAGCCAGGGATACTGAGATAAGAAATTCACTGGATCCTGAGGTTAAGGGAGCCTTTTGCAGGTGATGTAGAAGCCAGCTTTTGCACCTATGAGAGTGAAATCATCTTGATTATAAGGAGAGCAAGAGGATGGAGGCTTTCTCTAATTTCTTTTTTACATTTTATGAGCATTTTCTCTGAAAAAGAAGGTCCTGCGTAGTGCCATGCCATAACTGAACTGCAGAAAAACAGCACGGCCTATGTTTGGTGTCAAAAGCTGGAACTTTCAATCAGCCCTGTCTTGTTTTTCAGCCAGGCGTTGTGGGGCAGATGATCGAGGCAGCTGAAGAGCGCCCGTGGCTGTGGGTAGTCTATATTCTAACTGTAGCCCTTCCTGTGTTCCTGGTTATCCTCTTCTGCTGTTCTGGAAAGGTAGGAAGTTTTTTTTTTTAGAATCAATTTTAGAGACATCACTCTAGTGATTATTAAAAATAACTAAGATATGTTGCCTGAGGTTTTCTTTGTAGTGGCTCAGTAATGACCAAGCCATGTTTGGTGTTGACTTCAGAAACCTTACTTACTGTTCCTCAGTGGCCGTTTATTGTGCCCAGATGGGAGCAGGATTTATAGCCCCTTGGTTGCTATTATTATTTATCCTAATCTGTTACTCTCCATAGTGTTCGGCAGCAACTTTCTAAAAAAAAACAATAAACTTAGATACCAAACTAGCCACTTGGGCAATAATCAGCTTTGCCTGCTGGCATAGCTATTTCTATTCTTTGTAATTCAGTCTTTGATTCCTCATTATCCATTCTGCCTTCACCTTCCCCACTCTCAAAACAGTATGTTGGGGTACCACAGCCTTATTGTTAGTTTTTCTTGTTTAGCCTTTTTTTTTTTGCATGCTATCATAAAAAAAGAAAGTCTTATTTTGGACTCTACTTCTGCTAAATGAGGATTATGCTTCATCTGGCATTCATAGCACTTTGTAACTGGATCCCAAGTTCCTTTTCCAGCCTCAGCCTCTGCCACTATTCTGTGTATCGGTGCCTCAGTCACCTTGACTTTTTTGACCTTTATTTTCCTGCCTGGCCCTTTTGTTTTTATTGTTCTACCTTGAAACACACAAGCACATGTGCATACACACACGTACATACACGCTCTTCAGGGTAGGAATTACATCCTATTCGTTTCTGTATATCTATCCCTGTATACAGCCTGGAACAGAACTTTGCCTGTAGGCATTCAGGAATTATATAACATAATACATGAACATGTAAACAAAATTGTACTTTGGGGAACATTTCAGAAACAGACCAGTGGTATGGAGTATAAGAAAACTGATGCACCTCAACCGGATGTGAAGGAAGAGGAAGAAGAGAAGGAAGAGGAAAAGGACAAGGGAGATGAGGAGGAGGAAGGAGAAGAGAAACTTGGTAAGAAACAGAGTCCAGAAAATCTGCTTTAAGCCAAGACCCTACGATGTTGTTAAACCTTTACAGTCAAGTTAAGGATTGTTTTTAGCCAGGCGTGGTGGCTCAAGCCTGTAATCCTAGCACTTTGGGAGGTTGAAGCAGGAAAATCACTTGAGCCCAGGAGTTTAAGGCTGTAGTCAGCCAGGATAGTGCCACTGCACTCCAGCTGAGCAACAGAGTGAGACCCTGTCTCTCTCTCTCTCTCTTTTTTATTTTTTAAGACAAGGTCCCACTCTGTCACTCAGGTTGGAGTACAGTGGCACAGTCACAGTTCACTGCAGCCTTGACCTTATAGGTTCAAGTGATCCTCCTACCTCAGCACCCCTCCAAGTAGCTGGGACCACAGGCATGCGCTACCATGCTCAGCTGTTTGTTTGTTTGTTTGTTTATTGATTTATTTATTTGATATGGTCTGGCCCTGTTGCCCAGGCTGGAGTGCAGTGGTGTGATCTCGGTTCACTGCAGCCTTTGCCTCCCAGATTCAAGCGATTCTCCCACCTGGGCCTCCCAAAGTGTTGGGATTACAGGCGTGAGCCACCAGACCCAGCGAGATCCTGTCTCTTAAAAAAAAATTGTTGGCCAGGTGCGGTGGCTCACGCCTGTAATTCCAGCACTTTGGGGGGCCGAAGCAGGCAGATCACGAGGTCAGGAGGTCGAGACCATCCTGGCTAACATGGTGAAACCCCATCTCTACTAAAAATACAAAAATTAGCCGGGCATGGTGGCAGGTGCCTGTAGTCCCAGCTACTCAGGAGGCTGAGGCAGGAGAATGGCGTGAACCTGGGAAGGCAGAGCTTACAGTGAGCCGAGATTGGGCCACTGCACTCCAGCCTGGGTGACAGAGCAAGACTCTGTCTCAAAAAAAAAAAAAAAAAAAAAATTGTTGGCCAGGCATGGTGGCTCACGCCTGTAATCCCAGCACTTTGGGAGGCCGAGGTGGGTGGATCACGAGGTCAAGAGATCAAGACCATCCTGGCCAACACAGTGAAGCCCCGTCTCTACTTAAAATAAAAAAGTTAGCCAGGCATGGTGGCGGGCGCCTGTAGTCCCACCTATTCGGGAGGCTGAAGCAGGAGAATCACTTGAACCCGGAAGGCAGAGGTTGCAGTGAGCCGAGATTGCGCCACTGCACTCCAGCCTGGCGACAGAGCGAGACTGAGTCTCAAAAAAAAAAAAAAATTGTTGGCCGAGCAAGGTGGCTCACGCCTATAATCCCAGCACTTTGGGAGGCCAAGGTGGGTGGATCACCTGAGGTCAGGAGTTCGAGATCAGCCTCGCCAACATGGTGAAACCCCGTTTCACTAAAAATACAAAAATTAGCCAGGCGTGGTGGTGGGCACCTGTAATCCCGGCTACTCCGGAGGCTGAGGTAGGAGATCCACTTGAACCTGGAGGCAGAGGTTGCAGTGAGCCGAGATCATGCCATTGCACTCCAACCTGGGTGACAAGCAAAGTCGATCTCAAAAAAAATAGTGGCCGGGCGCGATGGCTCACGCCTGTAATCCCAGCACTTTGGGAGGCCACCGAGGAGATCATGAGGTCAGGAGATCGAGACCATCCTGGCTAACACGGTGAAACCCCGTCTCTACTAAAAATAAAAAAAGTTAGCCGGGCATGGTGGCAGGCGCCTGTAGTCCCAGCTATTCAGAACACTGAGGCAGGAGAATGGCGTGAACCCGGGAGGCGGAGTTTGCAGTGAGCCGAGATCGCGCCACTGCACTCCAGCCTGGGCGACAGAGCAAGACTCTGTCTCCAAAAAAAAAAAAAAAAATTGTAGATCTAGAGATGTGTTCTAATGCTAATATATAATCACCAAAAATAATAAGGTTTTGCTCAGTTGTTTAACTTCTGTCTTAGAAGAGAAACAGAAAAGTGATGCTGAAGAAGATGGTGGCACTGTCAGTCAAGAGGAGGAAGACAGAAAACCTAAAGCAGAGGTAAAGGAAAGGGGTCACACATTTTGTTTTACCAAGCTGAAGGTACATTTATGTAAAGGGAATATTTTAATAGGGTAGTTTACAGTGGCTTATGGCAGTAAAAATTCTGTTAAAGCCAATTTTGTTGAAGTGGGATTCTTTGTGATACAGGTCAGTGTTTTGTTTGATAATTTTAAGCTACATATTAATCTCAGAAGTATCTTTTTAGCTGAAAATCATTTTCTGAAATAAGCAGAAGGTTATAGGGGGAAAATAAAATGCTTGCTAAGAAGGAAACTTCGGGTCATTAACAGTCTATTTGCCTCTCCTCACTGTGCCCTGAAAAGTATTTCTTATACAAATCACTGTGTTCTAAACTTTTTGTCCCCGTTGTCCATAGATGGGTTCATTCATTCATTTAACTGACATTTGTTGAGTGCCCATTTTGTGCCAGGCATTGTCAGTGAGTAAGACAGACAAAGATACTCTGCCTTTAGGGAGCTTAAATTCTACTTGGGGGAAACAGGCAATGAGCAGTAAACATTTTAAGGAAGTAAACAACACAGCGTATTAGGAAGTAAGAAACGATGAATAATTAAAACAGGAAAAGATACTAAAAGTGCTAGAGGTAGGCGGGTCACCATGTTAAAACCTTACTCGAAAGATGACATCGAACCAAACACTTGAAAGAGGTAGAGAACTTTTCCATGGGGATGTAAGTGGGAAGAGCATTCCAGGCACAGAGAACAGCCAGTATTGAGGCCTAAAGTGGTTGTCTACAAGGCCAGTATGGTGAGTGGACAGAGAGAGTGGAGAAAAGAAGGGTGGAGAAGGCTCCAGGTTAGACAGGCTGTTGTGTGGACTTGGCTTTCCCTCCTAGTGAAGCGGGCAGCCATCACAGGCTACTGGACACAGGTGTCACAGGATGATGACTGTGTCTGCTGTGTTTCCTATATACCAGGGAGAATCAGGGCGACCAGTTAGGAGGTCCCTGTAATCATCTAGGAAAGATACGGTGGCCCCACAAAGGGTGACAGGAGAGGAACAGAGGGTATGAGAACTAGTTGGAGATCTGGATCTTGGTTTTGTGGTAGATTGGATATATAGAGTATGAGAGAAAGGGAACAGTCACTGTCTGTATGTACCATTGCTTACTAAAGTCCTTTACCCAGCACCTCTGTGTCTAAATCTGGTCTCTCCCGGAAAGCTCTCCTCAGGTTTTACTTTCAGCTACAACTCTGCCTTCCTATTAATAAAGATCATTGCTATCTGTATCTTTTGTATATTTTCCATGGATATGTTCTGTCTTAACTAGAATGCAATTCTTAAAAGTAGAGACCATGTTTCCCCCAAACTCCCTCACACGTTAAAAAGTTGCTGGTGCATTTAAAAAAAGGGAATATTTTCATAGGGTAATTTACAATCTTAGCAACTTGTGATAGAGTACAGAGCAGCAGCCTTGGAGTCAGTCTACTTGGATAGCCTTCCATCTTCATGAATCCTTGGTTTCTTATCCTCAGAATGGGGCTAGTGTGCCATAGGCCAGTAGATTGTTTGGGATTAAGCAAGATTAAGAAATCACAGTGTCTGATCCTTTTTTAAGAAAATGTTTATGGGTTAGATTGAGAAAAGTGTATGTTTATAGAAAACAATAAAGACTAAACTGAATTAGAGTAGGCATAATTCCACCACCTCTGAGACAACCATTCTTCTTGGTGCATTTTCTTCTCATCATTTTCCTCATTTTTTTCCTCAAATAAGTTACCCTCAGTCTGGCTGATCTTGAAAATATGGTGAACTTTTATTATTTTTTAAATGTGCTAATTATAATGAATTTCTTTTCAATCAATAGGAGGATGAAATTTTGAACAGATCACCAAGAAACAGAAAGCCACGAAGAGAGTGAAACAATCTTAAGAGCTTGATCTGTGATTTCTTCTCCCTCCTCCCCTGCAAGAGTGGTCCTAGGAGAGGACCTGGCACACCTTAGGTTGACATTCAGAAAACTTCAAGACATCACCATCAGCAGGCTCCAGTTGAACACTAGTCTGTGTAACTTTAAACATCTAGCAGTAAATACTTGCAGTTGTGATATAAAGGACCCTGTTTCTGTAGAAAAGAAAACATTTAACATAATGGTTGTGAAATGTAACATGAAGCAAACTAACTTTTTTTTTTTTAACATCTTTGTTTTTAAAATAGAATGATAGAACTTTGCCAGTCTTTAAGATCTTGGCTTAATTTAATGTATTAATCTGTTTGTGCAAACATAATACCACCATTTAAAAATGTTAGGGAGATGAGTTGCAGTTTTTATAATAGATTTTTTTTAAAGTTTGGTATTGTAAAACATTCACACCTCTGTCCCTCAAAATTGATAATTACGTTTAAAGTGCAGTCATTTGTGGTTAGAATCTTGTTTTGTTTGCTTCCATTATTGAGTTCCTCCTAAGGAAATTGAGGAGAGGGACTGAATAGAAGCCCAAATTCATATAAAAGTTGCGTTTAAGTTGTATTAAAAATAGATATATAAGAAAAAATTCTTTCACTTGATGTTTGTTAGACCAGAAAGTGTGTGTGTTCTGTAGCTCAGTTCCCAGACAGCTTTTTAGGTAGTGGAGGAGGTGGCTTCATGTGGCACTTGGGCATTTATATTCCACTTGGGAGGGTCAGGCTGTGGCCTTCTGGAGCAGGTGGCTTGTTAAGGAATGCTAGCAGGGCATGGCACGTGAGCTCCGGAATAGATGTCTTCATCACTTCTTCCACTGTGTGTTGACACTGTTTTCCTTACCTATTTCCTCAGATCCCCAGCTTTCTCCTCTGCTATGCATTTTCTTCACAGTGCAGCTTGCAGTCCGTTGCTGAAAATGATTATAAGCCCTGCATAATGTTAAGCTTTATTGTGATTACGTGTATGTTTCTTCTTTCTTTTAAGCAGACCCATACCTTTCCAGGGTCAAAGTACAGAATAGAATACATTGATACAAAGTACAGAAAAATACTTTGATTTTTATCCATTTCTTTTACTCTGTGTAAAGACTTGAGAAGTCTAATTCACAGGCAAACCAATACAGAATTGACTGCAGTTGAACAGACTAGAAGTATTTGTGGGAGGAGTGACATGAAGCATGAGTTATCTGATTTTTTTTGTAGCTGCTATATATTTTAAGCCTTCATTTGCAATTCATGTAACAGTTGTGTCATAAATTACACAATAAAGCAGTCCTGTTCAAATTTTTTTTTAACGTGGCTTGTAGAATTTTTAAAAAAGTGATCTTAGGTTTGTTTTTTCATGCGGGATGCAGATGGGTGCTATCAGAGCCTCTCCCACACCACTATAGTGTAATAATGTTATTATTACTCTACACTGAAACGTATTCAGAGTTAGATATTATTTTAGCTTCAGTTGTTCTTTAGAGGCTTTCAAATGTACCGATGATACTGTTTCTTGCACTGAATATATAAACACTCCACAGTGTTTATATTGGGAAGATATTGGGAAGGAAATATATTTGTAAAAGATGAAGGCTGTATCTATTTTTTTTTCTTTTTAAAGTTTGTTCACTTAAATTCTTTTGAGGATGGGATGTATTTTTCTTGCTGTTCAGTGCTTTTTCCTTTTCATCTGTTGTTCTGTGGTCACAGTGACCTTAGCTACATAGCAGACTTTCCCAAATGTATTGATTACAAATAAACAGTTGTTACTTAGCAAGACCTGAAAATATGTCTGCAGGTTTCTCCTTGAAGCAAATGTGTGGGATCATTGCATTTCCAGAAATCTGCCTCCTTCACCCTCCGTTGACAGTATATGTCATGCCTCACTTTCTTCTAGCTGAGCTTTAAATCATTAGAGCTTAAATTGTCAGATCGTTCATTGCCTTTCCAGGGTTATTTAGTAAAGTTTGTTGAAAACAAAAACGCCTTTTCTTGGTTCTTTTTTCAGTTATTTTGAAGGTCCAGCATCCTGATTAAATGTCTGACACATTAATGAATGACCAGCAGCAGCTTTCAGCTCTTAAAAAGACACTTATATTTTGATTTTACATGCTGGTTACCTGTTCCATTGTTGTCAAATGCCCACTCTCCATCAGATGTGTTCCTCCATTTTCTTATCCACAAAGTACTCCTCACTTTTCAATTTGTCATGTTACTAAATGGTGTTACATTAAAGCCCTGTGTTAAGTGTCTGCTTTTGACTGAATTTCTTCATAGTAACCTTCAGTGTGTGTGTGTGACTATGTTCAATTAGTGGGTTGATCTTCGTATAATTGGCCACTATGTGAGAGTTCACTACTAGGCAGAAACTATTATGGACAGTGAAATAATGACTTTTATCTCACCACGTGAGTTTGATGCAGTCTTTTCTGTCTAGCCCTTGCCTCTTCCTGCCCATGTGATTGCGGTGCAGTAGTTTCTGTTGTATAATAGTGTGGACAGCAGCTCAGAAAAGGAGGGAATGCTACTGATAATTTGTAGATAATATTCTTTAAGACTTAGGGGAACCATTGAACTTTGAAATTTTTATTAGAAAATTATTTGTTCAGAATCAGACTCCATTATTTTACATATACTTAAATACTTTAGGGGTATTTTTGAAAGTTAGCCCAGTTTTTTATGTGCTATTAAATTTTTAGATTACATACTAAAGAAAAGTATGTACACAGAATGTAGTGCTCCTAGTTACTATTTTTTCTATTAAGAAATAGTTTAGTTCTGGTGTAAAATTTGTTTGAATGCTAAAAAAAAAAAAGCAGGACTGCATTATGGCACTTTTGCCTTGGTGGCCCACTTTCTCCATTTAAAACATTAGGATTTGTATTTTTCTGCTGCGTTTGTATGAAGACATATTTGATTGTTGTTTTCTCTTGATTTTAAAATAAAACCTCATGAGCCCTAGTAAAAAGCTAGAGTAACGAATGTTTGAACTACTGATGGTGTATCTCAATGTGCAGCCTCCTGCCACCTCCTGCTTAACCTTTTAGCAATTAGAGTGCCCATATCTAGAGTTCCTGATATCCTTTGGCATCACACTATCTAGTTTTAGTACTAACACTGTTTGATTGCTCCAGTCCCTCTACTCCCCTTTGCCTATTAGTTTTAATAATGGGGCATAATTTGTCTTGGTTTGGTTTTGTTGAGTAACTCAGTTTTACCTAAAGGACTGTTTTTGGTCCGGCGCGGCGGCTCACGCCTGTAATCGCGGTACTTTGGCAGGCCGAGGTGGGCGGATCACCTGAGGTCAGGAGTGGGAGACCAGCCTGACCGACATGGAGACACCCCGTCTCTACTAAAAATACAAAATTAGCCGCGCGTGGTGGCGCATGCCTGTAATCCCAGCTACTGGAGAGGCTGAGGCAGGAGAATCGCTTGAGCCTGGAAGGCGGTGGTTGTGGTGAAACGTCGTCCTTTGCATTTCCAGTTCCCTCTAATGGAGCTGCACTCTTGCATGCTTTTGCTCACATCTTCTGGACTTTTTTTTTAAGTAGTGAGTAATACTGCACTTTTGAAACTTGCTCGGGCTTTTACAAATAGGTGGAAACTACCAGTGATTCGGAATGTTGCAAGAGGAAACTACCAGCTCACTAGACGATTCTGACCAATTATGGGGCTGGATACAAGGAATAAGGTCAAAGTAAAACGGCTGACATTAAAATAGCGTGGCTACTTAGAGTTTATCAAAGTCGAAATTTAAAAAATAATTTAAAAAAAAGGTCTCTGTACTGCCAGGCGGGCGACAGGGACTGGCCAGCTGCGCCGCACTCGCCTGCCAGATTCCCCTTTTCTCGGGGTAGCCGGAAGGGCCTGCCTTCAGCGGGTGCTGTGCAGGAAACCAATAGCCGCCTCTTGGACGGGCTCCTGTCAGTCACGCTTAGCTCCGCCCCCAGGATTAAGGCCCGCCCAGGGGCTTCCCTCCGCCCTTCGCTTGAGAATTCCTTTTAAATACCGCTCTGGCGCCCGAGCGCGCCTCTTGCGTGCTCGTCCCCACGCCCTCGGGCGGCCGGTTCTTCCTTCTCTGATTGGCCAGGGCCCCTGCTCATCAGTCGTGATGCACAAGGTCTCTTACCGAGGCCCCGCCTTCTTCCGAGAGGCCCGAAAACAATTTTAAGATGGCGGCCGCGGCGGTAGCGCGGAAAACAATGGGGCCGGGGCGGTGGGGAGAGGCCGAGGCTTGAGGTAGGCAGCAAGCGCCGGCTGGGGGTCGGGCCGAGCGGGGCAGGAGGAAAACCCGCCGCCGCGCGCGAGCCCGCTCCGCTGCCCTCGGGGGCATGGCGCGGCCGTGAGGCGGAGAGGGGTAGCCGCGGGGAGCGAAGCCCGCAGTGCCAGCCGGCCCCGAGAGGCCCGGCCCCGGGCCCGGCCCGTGCAGCCCGCGGCCCATGGTGCTGCCCACCTGCCCCATGGCGGAGTTCGCGCTGCCGCGGCACAGCGCGGTCATGGAGCGCCTTCGCCGGCGCATCGAGCTGTGCCGGCGCCACCACAGCACCTGCGAGGCCCGCTACGAGGCCGTGTCGCCCGAGCGCCTGGAGCTGGAGCGCCAACACACCTTCGCCCTGCACCAGCGCTGCATCCAGGCCAAGGCCAAGCGCGCCGGGAAGCACAGGCAGCCGCCCGCCGCCACGGCCCCGGCGCCCGCCGCCCCGGCCCCGCGCCTGGACGCCGCTGACGGCCCCGAGCACGGCCGCCCGGCCACGGTGAGTAGGGCGCGGGAAGGCGCTTGTCGTGGCGGCAGCCCCCTCTCCCGAAAACGCTTCCTCTGACGCGGATCGGGCCGCTGGGAGACTTCCCCAGGCGTCCGCGACTCCTGGATCTGGCTGGAGAGAGGGTAACATGGCAGGGAGCTGAGAGGTTGTCATCTTTGGGAAGTGGCACGGTGGCGTTACTTTGGGAAAACAGCGCCTTGAGGGCCTTGCAGGAGGCCCGACCTGGGAAGGCTGGCGAACGCTAACCGGAGGGTTTTTCTTCCAGACTTGATTCCGGGATGTTGAGATCTTTATTCGAAATAGACTAGCATTCGAGTCGCCTGTGATGGAGGGAGTTCCTGCACCGTAGGCCTGGCCTCATTTATTCTGCAAATGTTTATTGGGTCCTTGCCCTTTACAAGATCCTGTGCTGTGAGCAGGATCAGGGCTTTCATGTGGAAATAAGTCGGCCTTTGGTTGACCAACTGAAACTCCTCTGAATGGAAAATCAAGAAATTTTTGGAAAACTTAGTAAAATGTTCAATGAGTTGCATATAAGTATTCCTTGTTTAGGTAGCCTGAACTTTGTGAACTTGAGATTCCTGCAATATTGTTGACAATTCTAGTTTTAATTTATCAGGCCTGTTTAAAATCTCTGATGATGTTAGATTGTTGGTCAATTATTACTCCCTTTGGGCTCTCAGTAAATGTTCCTGAAATTTGTTGGTTAGAGGTTTTTCTTCCTGAAACAGATTTACAAAAGAGACAAGGTTTTTCAGTGGTTTTCTTGGGGATTTTAGTTTAAAACCAATGTTAAAATCTAATTTGTTATGTGTATTTTTAAATTCATACCTTTATTATCTCTCACCTGGGCTATTGCAGTGCCTGTCCCTAGCTAACTAACCAGTCTGTAGGCATTTAGTTTCTTTCTCCCTTATTCTCGAAATGCTGGAAATCCTTCTCTTGCTTGAAAGGATGAAGTTCAAAGTCTTTAGTTTGGCATTTGGGACCAGTCTGACCTAACCTATCTTTTAATGTCCCTCACAGGTCCTCTGCTCTGGTTGAATTATTTTTCTCATTCTCTTCCACACTAGCCTCGATTGCTGGGTTAGAAGAAAAAAAACCACTCAGATTTCATTGCTTATTGTATCAACTGGTCAAGCCTTCTCATCTTCACTTTTCTCATCTGTAAACTAGGGGCATGTTGGGCTTATTATCGCCCCGTGTTCTTTCCCTGCCCTCCCCTCACTCTGTCGCCCAGGCTGGAGTGCAGAGGCACAGTCATGTCTCACTGCAGCCTCAACCTTCCTGGCTCAAGACTCCTCAATCCTCCCGCCTCAGCCTCCTCAGTCCTCCCGCCTCAGCCTCCTGAGTAACTGGGATCAACCACAGCTGCACATCACCATGCCTGGCTAAATAAAAAAAGTTTTTTTTCTGTTAGAGATGGGGTCTCACTATATTGCCTAGGCTGGTCTTGAACTCCTGGGCTCAAGTGATCCTTTCTTCCAACTTGATCTCTGAAAGTGCTGAGATTATAGGCATGAGCCACCGCACCGTGCCGCCCCCAGGATTCTTTTAAGAATAAAAAGAAATGAGTGTGGACATGAAAATACAGTATTTCGGGGGAAGGGATAGCATTGGGAGATATACCTAATGCTAGATGACGAGTTAGTGGGTGCAGCGCACCAGCATGGCACATGTATACGTATGTAACTAACCTGCACATTGTACACATGTACCCTAAAACTTAAAGTATGATAATAATAAATAAATAAATAAAATACAGTATTTCATAAATTTAAAGGCCGCCTGTGGGACCCTCCTCCATCCCTTTCAGAATCCTGCCACCCTGCCAGTCCCAGCTTATCTCTTTCTTCTGCCTTAAAGCTAGTTCCTGACCAGCCTAACCCACAGCAGTAAGAATCTCCTTTGTCAAAACATTTAGGAAACATATTATCTATGCTATTTGTTTTATTTATTTATTTATTTTGAGATGGAGTCTTGCCCTGTTGCCCAGGCTGGAGTGCAATGGCGCGATCTAGGGTCACAGCAATCTCCGCCTCCCAGGTTCAAGTGATTCTCCTGCCTCAGCCTCCCTACTAGCTGGGATTACAGGTGCTGGCCACCATGCCCAGCTAATAATTTTTGTATTTTTAGTAGAGATGGGGTTTCACCATGTTGACCAGGCTGGTCTCGAACTCCTGACCTCAGATAATCCACCCACCTCGGCCTCCCAAAGTGCTGGGATTACAGGTGTGAGCCACTGCACCTAGCCTATTTATTTTTTTTTGAGACAGCGTCTCGCCCTGTCACCCAGGCTGGAGTGTAGTGACATGATTTCTGCTCACTGCAACCTCTGCCTCCCCGGTTCAAGCGATTCTCCTGCCTCAGCTTCCTGAGTAGCTGGGATTACAGGCGCACACTACCACGCTTGGCTTATTTTGGTATTTTTAGTAGAGACAGGGTTTCTCCTTGTTGGGCAGGCTGGTCTCGAACCCCTGACCTCGTGATCCACCCACCTCGGCCTCCCAAAGTGCTGGGATTACAGGCGTGAGCCACCGCGCCCGGCCTATGCTATTTATTTTTAGCACATGGTCACTTGTTACTTTAGGTCGCATCTTTTCAACTAGACTGTCAGCTCTTGGAGGCAGGGAGGGCTCACACTTGGGTAGTACACATCTGAGGTGCATCTTAAGTGCCTGTTTGTTGAATTATTGATAGAAACTTGGTAGTGCTTTACTCAGTAATCTCTCCTCCTATACACTAACTTCAAAAAGCAAGTTGATGTAACTTCATGAGCCACCTTTCATGGCTCATAGTAACAACTCTTGTAAGGAGGGACTTTTGTTATTTTTTTTTAGGGAGTTTCGCTTTGTCGCCAGGCTGGAGTGCAATGGTGCCATCTTGGCTCACTGCAACCTCCGCCTCCCAGGTTCAAGCAATTCCCCTGCCTCAGCCCCCCAAGTAGCTGGGACTACAGGCTTGTGCCACCACGCTCCCCTAATTTTTTGTATTTTAGTAGAGACGGGGTTTCACCATGTTGGCCAGGATGGTCTCGATCTCCTGACCTTGTGATCCTCCCGCACTGGCCTCCCAAAGTGCTGGGATTACAGGCATGAGCCGCCACGCTTGGCCTGTGTAAGGAAGGACTTTTAAGAGTAGTTCGTGGTCATTGCAATTGAAGTAAATAATGAAAGCTCATAAAAATCATAGTTTAATACACAAATAGTTGCCTTGAATCCTCCCTAGAAAGTATATTAGGGGGGCCGGGAGCAGTGGTTGACTCCTGTAATCCCAGCACTTTGGGAGGCAGAGGTGGGTGGATCGCCTGAGGTCAGGAGTTCGAGACCAGCCTGGCTAACATGGTGAAACCCCGTCTCTACTAAAAATACAAAAATTAGCTGGGCATGTGGCGTGCGCCTGTGGTCCCAGCTACACGGGAGGCTGAGGGAGGAGAATCGCTGGAACCTGGGAGACGGAGGTTACAGTGAGCTGAGATCGTACCACTGCACTCCAGCCTGGGCAACAGAGGGAGACTCCGTCTCAAATTAAAAAAAAAAAAAAAAGGTATATTAGTAATGATTCAATTTTTGTTTAAAGTTGTTCTAAGAATTTAGACCCTGTATGATTTTTTTTAGTCCTGAGTCAGTGGGGGAAACTGGGCATGCTGTTTGAAGAGAAATTAATTCTGAGTGTGTTAGAATTTGAATCTAATTTGTCAGTCATTCCTTTTGATATCAGAGCTTAATCAGATGTGCCATGTTAAGGTGATGTCTTTTTATCACATTAAACCTTGACTTATGGATTTCTTGAGTTTAAACTCTACGGTGGATGTGCTTTTCTGTGTCTCTGCTAGGAAGAGGGACGCTTTGCATTTGGACTCCAAGTTAGTCTAGCTGAGCTCTTTGGCCTTGGAATGGGGTCATCGGAACAGAAGATAAGTATCATTAAGAAAACAGTGGCTCCTTCAATTCAGGGGGGAAGAGAGTCCTTGAGTATGTACGATTTTGGCTTGGAGAAAACAGCTTTGCAGAAAGAGATGGAAAGAAGGTACCTCTTAGTCATTGTTATTTTTGACAACTCCATGTATTTGATCTCATTAATATTTCTTACTTAAGGAATATTATAAGTTCTTAAGTTTTTTCCAAGTGAACTATATACTGTTTGGCAGTCATTTCATAGTTACTTCACCAGCAACCCATTTGTATGACTGAGAAGGGATCAGATTTACTGCTAGAGTTTACTTCACTTCAGATTATTGTTTTCTTAGGATATCCCACCACAGCGAAGTCTTAGCCACTATCTGCTTAGTCTGTTAGAGATGAATCAGAAACACTGTTTCAGGCTTTTTCTCTATTCTAATTTTCAAGGAATGAGTCTATTAGGTTTTCATTTCTTTTCCTTTTTTCTTGAAACAGGGTCTGGCTCTATCACCCAGTGGCGCGATCGTGGGGCACTACAGCCTTGAACTGCTGGGCTCCAGGGGTCCTCCCACCTCAGCCTCCTGAGTAGCTGGGACTACAGGTGTGCACCACCGCACCCGGCTAGGTTTTAAAGTTTTTTGTAGAGATGGGTGTGAGCCACCTTGCCTGGCCGAAAGTTGATTTTCTTACTTAGTTTTAGGTGTGTAAAGTTTCTTTCTCTCTTTTTTAACCTTTTATTTGTAAATAATGTCAAACTTAGAGAAAAGCTCTAAGTTTGGTACAAAGAACATCTGGTTACCTAGATTTACCTGTTGTCACTGTTGTGCCCCATTTGTTATCATTTGCACATTCTCTCTCTCCCACTCTCTGCCTCTTTCTCTCTCTCTCAGACTTTTATTCTCTGAACCACCTGAGAGTATGCTGCACACCTCATAGCTCTCTGCTGCCAAACCACCCCATGTGTACCTTTTAAGAGTTAAGAAAGCTGTTAATTTTGTAGACCAAACTCTTGTAAGAATTATGAAATAACAAATTATTTCCAGGAAGTAGATATTTCTGAATATAAAACAGATACTGTACTGTAATCATGTGGGGCATTAGTTTTTTTAAAAAGATGATCAGTGTGGCTTTAGGATCTCATTTCTTCCTGTAATGCCTGAGACCTTGTCTAGAACCCTCTTTCCTTTTTTGTCTTCAGTATCTCCCTTCCCAACTGAGTCTTTCCCTTCAGCTTGAAATTATGAACAAATATTCTCCACACTGACAAGTCCTGTGTTTTCTCACTGTCAAAATAGTATTCCATATTCTTCTTTCCCTTTGCCCTTCCCACTTGAACTTCTCATTTACTCATTAGCCTATGGTAATATGCCTTCTACCTCTTCTATTACTCTGAAGTTGCCTCCGTAAAGGACACCAAGGATGGACTTGCCAAATTTATTGGCATCTTTTTTTTTTTTTTGGAGACAGGGTCTCACTGTGTTGCCTAGGCTGGAGTGCAGTGGCACCATTATGGCTCACTACAGCCTCAACCTCCCAGGCTCAAGTGATCCTCCCACCACAGCCTCCTCAGTAGCTGGGACTACAGGCGTGAGCCACCACACCCAGCCTCATTGGCATCTTAGTCATCATTCTTCGTGACTTCTTCCTTTTCTTAGCTTCTCCTCTCTTCTGATTTCCTTTTCAGCTTTCTGACTTTTTTTCTCAGTCTCCTTACTATTTTCCCTTATTAATTCATGCAGCAAATATTTGAGCACCTGCTGTGGGCCAGAGTACAATCAGCCCTCCGTATCTGCGCATTCTGCATCTGCGGATTCAACCAACTGTAGATAGAAAATATTTTTTGGAAAAAAAAGTAAAAAAATAACAGTACAACAATTAACACAAATTATAATATGCAGCTCAGCATGGTGGCTCATGCCTGTAATCTCAGAACTTTTGGGAAGCTGTGGTGGGAGGATAGCTTGAGCTCAGGAGTTTTAGACCAGGCTTAGCAATATAACAAGACTCCATCTCTCAAATAGAATAGAATAGAACGGAACGGAACGGAATAGAATAGAATAGAAAAATAAAAATAAAAATATAGCTGGGTATGGTGGCTCACACCTGTAATTCCAGCACTTCAGGAGGCCAAAGCTGGTGGATTTCTTGAGCCCAGGAGTTCAAGACCAGCCTGAGCAGCATAGTGAGATGTCATCTCTATAAAAGCATGGTGGCATGCATCTGTATTCTCAGCTCCTCGGGAGACCGAAGTAGGAGGATTGCGTGGGACCGGGAGGTAAAGGCTGCAGCGAGCTATGATTGCGCCACTGCACCTTAGCCCCTGGGTGACATCCAAACCCTGCATCAAAAATAAATAAAAAATAAAAATATGACAACATTTACATAGCATTTCTATCATACGAAGTATTGTAAGTAATCTAGAGGTGATTTAAAGTATCCTGGAAGATGTGTATATATTATTGCAAATACTAGGCCATTTTATGTAAGGGACTTGAGCATCCTTGGATTTTGGTGTCCCGGCGAGGCTGGGCAGGGGTCTTAGAACCAATTCCCCATGGACACCAAGGGAACTGCTGTGTACAGTAGCGAATAGGACAAATTAAAATTCTGCTGTCATGGAGAAAGAGGAGGTCAATATTTTTGTTAACTTTGTTATAATAAGTGCTAAGCAAAAATTAAAAGCAGAGTCATGTGATACTAAATGACAGTCGTAGCTTAAGATGCCTTGATTTGAGCTTGATGATTGAGAGGCTGTCAGTCAGCTGAAAGTCTTAGAACATTCCAGTTAGAGAGAACCACCAGTACCAAGTGTCTGAGTTAGGACCCTTCTGAGCTGGCATGAAGAACAGAAAGCAGGCCAGTGTGTCTGGAGCAGCGTGGCACCTAGGACCAGATCAAGTGCAGTAGGAAGCAGTAGCAGGATAGGGAGCAGAAACATGATATGATCCAACTTAGGTTTTTTTGCTCT
This sequence comes from Homo sapiens, assembly GCF_000001405.40. NCBI lineage: Eukaryota > Metazoa > Chordata > Mammalia > Primates > Hominidae > Homo > Homo sapiens. The sequence goes on from NC_000005.10 coordinate 179,740,307, forward strand.
GCTGACCAGTCTGGAGTGCAGGGGCGCAATCTCAGCTCACTACAAGCTCCGCCTCCCGGGTTCACGCCATTTTCCTGCCTCAGCCTCCCAAGTAGCTGGGACTACAGGTGCCCGCCACCACACCCGGCTAATTTTTTTGTATTTTTTTTTTTAGTAGAGACGGGTTTCACCGTGTTAGCCAGGATGGTCTCTATCTCCTGACCTCGTGATCCGCCCATCTCGGCCTCCTAAAGTGCTGGGATTACAGGTGTGAGCCACTGTGCCCGGCCGATCTTTAAGTTTTGGAAGATGGTTCTGGTGCTAGGTGGAGGATGCCTGGGGTTGGTGTGGATAGGAGTGGATGCATATAAAGCTTTTGTAGCTCTCTAGATGCCAGGGCTGGGGCTGGTGGTAGCAGTGGAGATGGAGAAGAGGAGATGGGTTTTGGACAGTTCCTGAGGGCAGAGGTGACAGGACTGGGTTGCTGGACTAGATGGCTTTGTTTTGCGGGCAGGAGAGGGGAGTATTCAAGGGAAATTCCTAGTTTTATGGCTTGAGAAACTTTCTTTGCACTTTAAAAATATTAGTGTTCTCTAGGCAACTATATCCCTGGCCATTTTCACTCTTTTTTTCCCCTGGGTGATGTTATTGATTCTTTCATAGCTTCATTTGTCACCTGTAATAATACTCTTCAAATCCCCAGTCCAGATCTGTCTTCCAGATTTCAAATCCACATTTCCAGCTGTCTGCTGGACATTTTCATCTTTCCAGGATATATTTCCCACATATCCAAAATGGACTTTCCCTTTTTCCTACCAAATCATATGTTCCTTCTAAGTATTTTCCCTAACCCAGTCATCCAGAGTAAAAACCTGGGAATTTTCCACTCCTTTTCCACAATTCCCAGCGTTCAGTTGGTGGTTCTTTCAACCAACATTGAAGTCCTGCTGGAGCCAGGAATCGTGGTAGATGGTGAACCTGTATCGCGGAGCCTAAGTGGGAGCAGATGATACACAGGTCATTGCAAAGCCGAGTTCAGGGCTAAAGCCTGTGAGAATATTGAGGAAGGGGGATGCCTTTTTGGTGAAGTTTGGAAGGCTTTAAAGAATTGACTCTTGGCCAGGCGTGGTGGCTCACGCCTGTAATCCCAGCACTTTGAGAGGCTGAGGTGGGCGGATCACTTGAGATCAGGAGTTCAAGGGCAGCCTGGCCAAAATGGTGAAACCCCGTCTCTGGTAAAAAATACAAAAATTAGCCGGGCACGGTAGCATACACCTGTAATCCCAGTTACTCAGGAGGCTGAGGCAGGATAATCACTTGAACCCAGGAGGTCGAGGTTGTCGTGAGCTGAGATTGTGACATCGTACTACAGCCTGGGTGGCAGAGCGAGACTGTCTCAAAAAAAAAAAAAAAAAAAAAGAATTTACTTTTAAGGTGGATCTTAAGCTTTAGCCAGATGCTTTCCCCAGAGGTGTTCCATGGAACACTAATTTCATGGGCTGTTGAAAGTTACAGTGGAACACATTTGAGGAACACTGGGCTAAACAATTCTTTTTCCCTCTGAGCATCTGCACATATTGGCTAAACAAATGTATTTTATTTTTTAAATTTGTTTTATTGATTTATTTTTTGAGACAGAGTCTCCGTCTGTCGCCAGGCTGGAGTGCAGTGGGGTGATCTCGGCTCACTGCAACCTCCACCTCCTGGGTTCAAGCAATTTTCCCACCTCAGCCTCCCAAGTAGCTGAGGCTAATTTTTTGTATTTTTAGTAGAGACGGGGTTTCACCATGTTTGCCAGATTGGTCTCGAACTCCTGACCTCAGGTGATCCACCCGCCTCGGTCTCCCAAAGTGCCGGGATTACAGGCGTGAGCCACCGCACCTGGCCAACAAACTTAATTTGCTTTATTAAGAACATTTTTGGCCAGGCACGGTGGCTCATGCCTGTAATCCCAGCACTTTGGGAGGCCAAGGCGGGTGGATCATCTGAGGTCAGGAGTTTGAGACCAGTCTGGCCAATATGGTGAAACCTCATCTCTACTAAAAATACAAAAATTAGCCGGACGTGGTGGTACGTGCCTGTAATCCCAGCTACTCAGGAGGCTGAGGCAGGGGAATCCCTAGAACCTGGGCACCGGAGGTTGCAGTGAGCCGAGATCGTGACACTGCACTCCAGCCCAGGCGACAGAGTGAGATTCCATCTCAAAATAAATAATAAAAAAAAAACCAACATTTTTGCCACATTCAGTGTCTGACACCAGTAATCCCAGCATTTTGAGAGGCTGAGGTGGGTGGATCATTTGAAATCAGGAGTTCGAGACCAGCCTGGCCAACATGGTGAAACCCTGTCCCTACTAAAAAAATAAAAATAAATTAGCTGGGCGTGACGGCACACACCTCTAATCCCAGGTACTTGGGAGGCTGAGGCAGGAGGCAGGAGAATCACTTGAACCCAGAAGGCGGAGGTTGCAGTGAGCTGAAATTGTACCACTGCACTCCAGCCCAGGTGACAGAGCAAGATTCCATCTAAAAAGAAAGAACATTTCAAATCTTTAATATGCGGCTATGCATGAAGACATGAGCTCTTATCAGGTGGTATTTAATAGGACTTTGATTTCCTTTAGGGCACTAAGCAAAAGCACTAGTAGTTCTTTGAATTTGGGACTTAAAGGCAAGAAGGTGAGTTAGGTCATGAAAAGCCTTATATTTGAGACTGGGTGTTTGGACAAAATAATGTTGAAATACTGTGAACCCCTTCACACTTTTTTTTTTTTTTTTTTTTTTTGAGACAGAGTTTCACTCCTGTTGCCCAGGCTGGAGTGCAATGGCACCATCTTGGCTCACTGCAACCTCCACCTCCCGGGTTCAAGTGATTCCCCTGCCTCAGCCTCCCGGGTAGCTGGGATTACAGGCAGGCACCACCATGCCAGGCTAATTTTGTATTTTTATTAGAGATGGGGTTTCTCCATGTTGGTCAGGCTGGTCTCGAACTCCCGGCCTCAGGTGATCCGCCTGCCTCCGCCTCCCAAAGTGCTGGGATTACAGGCGTGAGCCACCATGCCCGACCCCCTGCCCCACGCTTTTTTTTTTTTTTTTTTTTTTAAGAGAGTCTCACTGTGTCTCCCAGGCTGGAGGGCAGTGGTGTGATCTCGGCTCACTGCAAGCTCCACCTCCCAGGTTCACGCCATTCTTCTGCCTCAGCCTCCCAAGTAGCTGGGACTACAGGCGCCCACCACCACGCCCGGCTAATTTTTTTTTTGTATTTTTAGTAGAGACGGAGTTTCACCTTGTTAGCCAGCCTCGATCTCCTAACCTTGCGATCCACCCGCCTCAGCCTCTCAAAGTGCTGGGATTACAGATGTGAGCCACTGCGCCCGGCCCTCGCTCACACATTTTTAAGTTGACACCTAGCACTTTTCATCTTAAGTTTTTAAGCTTATGAAAACTTATAATGCATTTTTTTGTTTATCAATTGTAAACTAAGTTACCATAATTCAATTTTATTAAATTAAATATATGAAATAATACATTTAGGTAACAGTCTTATAATTGCTACATATATTTAATTTGAATCAACTCTTTTAAAAGAAGGTGCTATTTATAGTTGCAGGGTATATAACTTCCAGAGAATTATAAATATTATCATTTAAAAATAAAATGGTTACATCAGTTTTTAAAATGTAGCCAGTGGAATCCGAATATCTTAGCGATATGCTATCTTTCATCAACTGTTTAAAGAATGCTTTAACAGAAATTTTAAATTCCTTTTTCTCCTGGAACTTGCATTCTTTTTACACTTAGCCCACATAATATGTTTTATTTTAACGTAATATATGTTTGGAAGCCTTTTATTTATCATTCTAGCACATTTCTTTGCAACAAAAAGAGGTATAAAAAATTAAATTTTTTTTCTTCTTCAAGATGGAGTCTTGCTCTGTTGCCCAGGCTGGAGTGCAGTGGCATGGTCTTGGCTCACCGCAACCTCCACTCCCCCGGGTTTAAGCAGTTCTCCTGCCTCAGCTTCCGGAGTAGCTGGGATTACAGGCACCTGCCACCACGCCTGTCTTAATTTTTGTATTTTTAGTAGAGATGGGGTTTCACAATGTTGGCCAGGCTGGTCTTGAACCTCCTGACCTCATGATCCACCTGCCTCGGCCTCCTAAAGTGCTGGGATTACAAGCGTGAGCCACCACACCTGGCCAAAATAAAAATTTTAAATTTACTTTCACCATTAAGCTGGATCCTTTTGGCAGGATTTTTTTTTTTTTTTTAGACGGAGTCTCACTCTGTCTCCCAGACTGGAATGTGGTGGCACGATCTTGGCTCACTGCAACCTCCGCCTCCCGGGTTCAAGCAGTTCTGCCTCAGCCTCCCGAGTAGCTACCATGCCCGGCTAATTTTTTTATTTTTAGTAGAGACGAGGTTTCACCATATTGGCTAAGCTGGTCTTGAACTCCTGGCCTCAGGTAATCCACCGCGCCCAGCTGCTTTTGCTCTCTTTCAAGTTGATTCATGCAGAATAATAGATGTAGCATTTATAAGATTCTGGTACATCTATTTCTTATTTCAACAAGTTGAGTTATAGTAATTTAGTACAAAACAACGCATGCATTATAAATTTTTTTTTTTTTTCTTGAGACTGAGCCTTGCTCTGTTGCCCAGGCTGGAGTGCAGTGGCACAATCTCGGCTCACTGCAAGCTCTGCCTCCCGTGTTCACGCCATTCTCCTGCCTCAGCCTCCCTTGTAGCTGGGACTACAGGCTCCTACCACCACGCCCAGCTAATTTTGTTTTTGTATTTTTAGTAGAGATGGGGTTTCACCGTGTTAGCCAGGATGGTCTCGATCTCCTGACCTCGTGATCCGCCTGCCTCGGCCTCCCAAAGTGCTGGGATTACAGGCGTGAGCCACCGTGCCCGGCCGCATTATAAATTTTTATAAGTAATTATTATGTAAAAAAGTACAAGTTTATTAGAAATGCCCTCCCTAATGAGATAGGGCTCCCTTACCTGCCTTGATTTATTCATGTCATTTATGGAGTTACTTGTAGCCAAAGTAAGAGTTCTCAGTTCAGTTCTTGTTTTTGTTTTTGTAAATTTAAGTCCCAGAAATTCTTGCTCACATAAATAAACTATAAAGGAAAGTAATAATGGCTGGGCGCGGTGGCTCACGCCTGTAATCCCAGCACTTTGGGAGGCAGAGGCGGGCGGATCACCTGAGGTCAGCAGTTCAAGACCAGCCTGGCCAACATGGAGAAACCCCGTCTCTACTAAAAATATAAAAATTAGCCGGGCGTGGTCAGGTGCAGTGGCTCACACCTGTAATCCCAGCACTTTGGGAGGCCGAGGCGGGCAGATCACGAGGTCAGGAGATCGAGACCATCCTGGCTAACACAGTGAAACCCCGTCTCTACTAAAAATACAAAAAATTAGCCAGGCGTGGTGGCGGGCGTCTGTAGTCCCAGGTACTGAGGAGGCTGAGGCAGGAGAATGGCGTGAACCCAGGAGGCGGAGCGTGGAGTGAGCCGAGATCGTGCCACTGCACTCCAGCCTGAGCGACAGAGCGCAACTCCGTCTCAAAAAAAAAAAAAAAAAAAAAAAAATTAGCCGGGCGTGGTGGCATGTGCCTGTAATCCCAGCTACTCGGGAGGCTGAGGCAGGAGAATCACTTGAACTGGGGAGGCGGAGGTTTCGATGAGCTGAGATAGCGCCATTCCATTCCAGCCTGGGTGACAGAGCAAAACTCTGCCTCAAAAAAAAAAAACAAAACCAAAAAAAATGGCTTGGCACGGTGGCTCACACCTGTAATCCCAGCACTCTGGGAGGCCGAGGCAGGTGCGGATCACCTGAGGTCAGGAGTTCGAGACTAACCTGGCCCACATGGCGAAACCCCGTCTCTACTAAAAATGCAAAAATTAGCCGGGTGTGGTGGCTGTTGCCTGTAATCCCAGCAACTTGGGAGGCTGAGGCAGGAGAATCGCTTGAACCTGGGAGGCAGAGATTGCAGTGAGCGGAGATTGTGCCACTGCACTGCAGCCTGGCGGCAGAGCGAGACTCCGTCTCAAAAAAAAAGGGAATAAGTTTAGTTATAGCAATGTTTTGTTTTTTTTGAGACAGTTTCGCTCTTGTTGCCCAGGCTGGAGTGCAGTGGCGTGATCTTGGCTCACCGCAACCTCTGCCTCCCAGGGTTCAAGTGATTCTCCCACCTCAGCCTCCCGAGTAGCTGGGATTACAGGCATACGCCACCACACCCGGCTAATTTTGTATTTTTAGTAGAGACAGGGTTTCTCCACGTTGGTCAGGCTGGTCTTGAACTCCCGACCTCAGGTAATTGGTCCACCTCGGCCTCCCAAAGTGCTGGGATTACAGGCGTGAGCCACCACACCTAGCCAGCAATGTTACTCAATATTTTGAAACCTGAATTGTGTGCCAAAAAATCACAGTTACATATAATCAAAAATTAACTTATCAGTTGACAACTTGGTTAGTCTTTTAATTTCATTGAAAACTAAGAATTAGAAACCATCCGACTTGCAAAAGGATTTATCTAGTCATTAGTCTTCACTCTCAGTGAGAAATATAACAAAAAGCCTTTAGCAAGTCTTATAAATTGGTTATTGATTATGCCTGCTATTCTTTCAGTTAAGAGGTACCTTGTTTCTTTCTTTCTTTGTTATTTCCCAGCCGCCTACCCCTGAAACAGAGTCTCAGGCTGGGTTTATTTTTATTTTTGGTAGAGACGAAGTCTTGCTCTGTCTCCCAACCTGGAGTGCAGTGGCTATTCATAGGTGCTATCATGGTGCACTACAGCCTTCAACTCCTGGGCTTAGCTCCCTAGTAGCTGGGATTACAGATGTGTGCCAATGCACCTGGCTTTCACACTTTTAATTAGTGTGTTTTTGCTGTTCTGTATTAGACTATGAGCAACTTAAGAGCAAGACCAAGAGTCTGGCATTGTACCTGCTGTATTTGGCAGTCATCAAGCATCTGTTGACTGTGTGTTAATGGTATTATAGAAGGTGCTCTGAAGTGAGAGTCAGAAGCTGTATGGCTTTGGGCTAGGACCAGTTGGGAAGTGGAGTTGGTAGAGGTAAGGCAGGAGGTCCTGATTTGCACATCCATGTTTAGGGCTTCATTGATCACACTAGGAGGGAGCGACCTGAATGTCCATCACAGATGAATGGATAAAGAAAATGTGGCATATCCATACAACAGAATATTATTCAGCCTTAAAAAGGAAGGAAATAGGCTGGGCACGGTGGCTCATGCCTGTAATCCCAGCACTTCGGGAGGCCGAGGCGGGCGGATCACGAGGTCAGGAGATCGAGACCATCTTGGCTAACACGGTGAAACCCCGTCTCTACTAAAAATACAAAAAATTAGCCAGGTGAGGTGGTGGGCACCTGTAGTCCCAGCTACTTGGGAGGCTGAGGCAGGAGAATGGCGTGAACCCCGGGAGGCGGAGCCTGCAGTGAGCCGAGATTGTCCCACTGCACTCCAGCCTGGGCGACAGCGAGACTCCATCTCAAAAAAAAAAAAAAAAAAAAAGAAGGAAATACTGTTCTGTGCTGCAACATGATCTTTGAGGACATTATGCTAAGTGAAATAAGACAGTCACAAAAAATAAATATTGCATGATTCTACTTATTTGAGATGTCTAAAATAAACTCATAGAAACAGAAAGTAGAATGGTAGTTGTCATGGGCTCGGGGAAGAGATAGGGGAGTTGTTCATGGATATAACTAGATGAGTAAGTTCTACTTACACAACAATGTGCATTTGGTTAACACTATTGCATACTTTATTTACTAATTTTTTTGACATGGAGCCTCACTCTGTCGCCCAGGCTGGAGTGCAGTGGTGATATCTTGGCTCACTGCAGCCTCTACCTCCTGGATTCAAGCGATCCTTGTGTCTCAGCCTCCTGAGTAGCTGGGACTACAGGTGCCTGCCACCACGCCTGGCTAATTTTGTATTTTTAGTAGAGATGGGATTTTGCCATGTTGGCCAGGCTGGACTCGAACTCCTGACCTCAAGTGATCCACCCACCTCAGCCTCTCAAAGTGCTGGGATTACAGCCATGAGCCACTGCACCCAGCCGACTACTGTATACTTTAAAAAGTTAAGATGGTAAATTTTATGTTCTGTGCCTTTGACCACAGTTTTTGAAAAGTGAGACAGAAACTGTGATTTTATAAACCACATGCCCTAAAAATGTTCTAACAATATTATAAGAGTTGTTTAATAAAGGCATATCAATAAAATTTAAGGACCAGTGTAAGTGGTCCGACATCCGAATAATAGGAATTACAGGAAGAGAGAAAACAAGGTGGGAAGTGACCTATAAAATAGTTGATAACAGAAGCACATGAGCCAACAGATTAAAACTGTGTACTTGTGCCTAGCACTAGGGAAGAAAATAGACCTGCACCAGGCATGGAATTTCTGAACATTGAGTTGATAGAAAAGATTTACAAGCTTCTGGATGGGAGGGTACCAGGTCACATATCAAGAATCAGAATGTCTTTGGACTTCATGGCAGCAGCATAGGAAGCAAAAAGAGAATTGGAACAATGTCTTCAAAATTCTGAAGGAAAGTGATTACTAACCTGGACTTCTGTACCTAGCCTAACTATACAACAAGAATAAGTGAGAAAAAGGTGTTTTTGTTTTTTTTTTTTTTGTTTTTTGTTTGTTTGTTTGAGATGGAGTCTCACTCTGTCGCCCGGGCTGGAATTCAGTGGCATGATCTTGGCTCACTGCAACCTCCACCTCCTGGGTTTGAGCAATTCCCCTGTCTAGGCCTCCTGAGTAGCTGGGATTACAGGCGCCTGCCACCACACCTGGCTAGTTGTTGTTGTTTGAGATGGAGTTTTGCTCTTGTTGCCCAGGCTGGGGTGCAATGGCGCGATCTCTGCTCACTGCAACCTCCGCCTCTGGGTTCAAGCGATTCTCCTGCCTCAGCCTCCCGAGTAGCTGAGATTACAGGCATGCGCCACCACGCCTGGATAATGTTGTGTTTTTAGTAGAGACAGGATTTCTCCACGTTGGTCAGGCTGGTCTTGAACTCCCAACCTCAAGTGATCCGCTTGCCTCGGCCTCCCAAAGTACTGGGATTACAGACGTGAGCCACCGCACCCAGCAAATTTTTGTATTTTTAGTACAGAAGGGGTTTCACCATGTTGGCCAGGCTGGTCTTGAACTCCTGACCTCTAGTGATCCACTCATCTCGGCTTCCCAAAGTGGTGGGATTACAGGCCTGAGCCACTGTGCCTGGCCGAAAAAGGTTTAAAAAATTTAAATGTCATACTCCTTCTCAAGAAGCTACTGGAAGATGTGTTCCACCAAATTGAAAGACTAAATCATGAAAGAGTAAGACACAGATACAGCAAACAGGAGCCCAACACAGTAGACATGGCCTGGGAGGCCCACAGAGGATGGCGAGAAGTGATCCTAGGGTGGCGGCTCTGCACCAGACGTGGAGGGCAACTGAGCCATACTGCAGCAGTGCAACCCACCGAGAGGTGAAGGCAGGCCATGGTGAGCTTAGAAACAGGAAGTACAGGGCAGCCCCCTTGCTCTGACTGTATTTCCACTGCAGGTCCAGCGCCTGGTCCCCACCTTGGCCCTGCCTGGTGCCTGACTATGCTGAGCCCTGTGTTTCCCAAAACTCCAAGATCTTGCTCACGACTTCCTCAGGAGGGGCTTTGTCAGCTCCCGGAGAAGCAGAAGTCAGATCACAACCTGGAGATTGATGCGCTCACCTCCTGGAGCCTCCATCCAGCAGGGGCAGTGCTGCCCTCTCCTTGCACTGCCAGTGTGCACCTGCTCTCCGCTTTAATATTAATCATCTTTGATATTCATTTACATGTAGTTATAATAGCTGCCCAAATAGTGAAATAGTAAATAAAATTACCAAATGATCTTCTGTGGATGTGGCCATGTGCTCTTATCTCCTGCGGATTCTTGCTTAGACTTCACATGCTTACTCTGTGAGCCCTTTCCTGAGCACCTTATTTGGAATCATAAGTCCCACCAACTCTCTCTTTGAGTGATTTGTTTTCTCGGGAGTACGTCTCAGCTAGAATATAGGCTCTAGGAGAGCCTGTGGTTTTGTTTGCTTGTTTCTCTGCTGTATCCCTAGGGCCCAGAGAGTGGCTGGCTCAGTCAGCTCTCAATAGATTTTTTTGTTTTTGTTTTAAGACAGGGTCTCTTGACTCCCAGGCAGGAGTACAGTGGCCCGATCTAGGCTCACTGCAACTTCTGCTTCCCGGGCTCAAGCTATTCTCCTGCTTCAGTGTCCTTAGTAGCTGGGATTACAGGTATGAGCCACCATGTCCGGCTAATTATTGTATTTTTTGTAGAGGTGGGGTCTTGCCGTGTTCCCCAGGCTGGTCTCGAACTCCTGAGTGCAAAGCAATCCGCTTGCCTGGGACTCCCAAAGTGCTGGGATTACAGGCCTGACGGCTCTCAGTAGATTCTTATTGGATAAATTGAATGAGATGATGAGGAAGAGTTTGCTAGAAAGAGAAAGGTGGGCAAGGATGACGATTCCCAGCAAGGAGGCAGCTGGCACAGAGCCACAGTGCCTGCTGTATGGAGCCCTTTGTGCAGTAAGGAGCTGCTGCTGGGCCCAGGCGGCAGGTCCCGGGGGCTTCCCTTATCTTCAGTGCTGTCCTGAAAACTTAGTTGTTCAAGGCTACTTTTTTTTAAATCAGAATCTCGCTCTGTCACCAGGCTGGAGTGCAGTGGCACGATCTTGGCTCACTGCAACCTCTGCCTCCTGGGTTCAAGCGATTCTCCTGTCTCAGCCTCCCGAGTAGCTGGGACTACAGGCGCACACCACGATGCGTAGCTAATTTTTTATTTTTAGTAGAGACAGGGTTTCACCATATTGGTCAGGCTGGTCTCAAACTCCTGACCTCAGGTGATCCACCCGCCTCGGCCTCCTAAAGTGCTGGGATTACAGGCGTGAGCCACCGTGCCCAGCTGGCTACTTTCTATAGTTATACTGTCCATGAGGGTAGCCATCAGCCAGGTCAGGTTCTTAAGCACGTGGAATGCACCTTGTTAAACTTGACTTGTGCTAAAAGTGTAAAATGCACACTGGATTTTGATAATTTAGTACCACAGATTTTTTTGGTGCACTCACTTCAGTGGCTGTCACCTGTAATCCCAACACTTTGGGAGGCCAAGGCGGGCGGATCATGAGGTCAAGTTCGAGACCACCCTGGCCAGCATGGCGAAAGCCCGTCTCTACTAAAAATACAAAAATTAGCCGGGCATGGTGGCGCACACCTGTAATCCCAGCTACTCGGGAGGCTGAGGCAGGAGAATCACTTGAACCCGGGAGGCAGCGGGTGCAGTGAGCCAAGATCATGCCACTGCACTCCAGCCTGGGTGACAGAGCGAGACTCCATCTCAAAAAAAGAAAAAAATACCGATTATGGCCAGGCACAGTAGCTCATGCCTGTAATCCCAGCACTTGGGGAGGCTGAACTGGGCAGATCACTTGAGCCCAGGAGTTCAAGACCAGCCTGGGCAGCATGGCAAAACCCCATCTTTACAAAAAATTAGCCAGGCTTGGTGGTGTACACCTGTAGTTCCAGCTACTAGGGAGGCTGAGGTGAGAGGATCATCTGAGCCTGGGAGGTCAGGGCTGCAGTGAGCTGTGATTGCACCACTGCACTCCATCGTGGGCAATAGAGTGAGACCTTGTCTCAAAGAAAAAAAAATACTGATTACATGTTAAAAAGATAATATAGGCCCAGTGTGGTGGCTCACACCTGTAATCCCAGCACTTTGGGAGGCCGAGGTGGGTGGATCACGAGGTGAAGAGATCAAGACCATCCTGGCCAACATAGCGAAACCCCCTCTCTACTAAAAATACAGAAATTAGCTGGGTGTGGTGGCGCACGCCTGTAGTCCCAGCCACTCAAGAGGCTGAGGCAGGAGAATCGCTTGAACGCGGGAGGTGGAGGTTGCAGTGAGCCGAGATCGCACCACTGCACTCCAGCCTGGCAACAGAGCTAGACTCTGTCTCCAAAAAAAAAAAAAAAAAAAAAAAAAATATATATATATATATGGTTAAATAACATTATTAAAGATATTAAGATTTTTTCTCAAAAAATACTGATTATATGTTAAAAAGTTCATATATATTGGGTTAAATATGATATTAAAATTGGCACCATCTGTTTCTTTTTATGTGCTACTAGCAAATTTTGCCCACACTTGTGGCTGGCATATTTCTATTAGTGCTGTTGAGTAATGAGTACGTTTGTACTGTGTTGAGTTTAACACTTTATTAGATACTCTTTTTTTTTTTTTTTTTTTTTTTTTTGAGATGGAATCTCGCTCTGTCGCCCAGGCTGGAGTGCAGTGGCGTGATCTCAGCTCACTACAAGCTCCGCCTCCCGGGTTCACGCCATTCTCCTGCCTCAGCCTCTGGATATTACTCTTTATGTCCTCTTTCATCTGTGGAACTCATTTATTTTATTTTATTTTTTTGAGAAGGAGTCTCACTCAGCTGCCCAGGCTGGAGTGCAGTGGTGCAATCTCGGCTCACCGCAACCACCATCTTCCAGATTCAAGTGATTCTCCAGTCTCAGCCTCCTGAGTAGCTGGGATTACAGGCACCCGCCATCATGCCCAGCTAATTTTTGTATTTTAGTAGAGACAGGGTTTCACCATGTTGGCCAGGCTGGTCTTGAACTCCTGACCTCAGGTGATCCGCCCGTCTTGGCCTCCCAAAGTGCTGGGATTACAGGCGTGAACCACAGCACCTGGCCCATCTGTGGAACTCTTATCTCACTGTCACTTCACAATCATTGGAACAGGAAAGACTGTATTTATAATTACTGATTTCAGTTTGCTCACCTAAATCCTAGATGCTATTTTTTAGTGTGTGTGTGTGTGTGTGTGTGTGTGTGTGTGTGTGTGCGCGCGCGCGCGCGCGTGCTGGGGTGAAGGAGTCCTGAATTCACATTGTCTGTCTTTGGCCTCTGGCAATCTGCCTTCTGATTTCACTACTCAATTAAACCAGTCTATCTTGACATCTTTAATGCGTTTTTACTTTTATTACCCTCCGTGCTACGTTTGATAATATTTCAAATTTTTCTCCTTAAGATAGAATTGCTGCACTTAACTCCCAGATCCATTTGGACAAGTAGATTCAATTGTTTTATTTGTAAAGGGAATAAGGGTGTCCAGCTTGGTCAAAGGAGTTTGAGGAGTACATGCATGTTCTGGACTTACACACCGAGTGATTGATGCCTCGAAGAAAGCGAATGGCAAAGGATTAAGACAGTAGTGGATGAGATGAATCGGGGGGGAGAAGTGTTTCTGTTTGGGTTGTTTTATTATTATTATTATTTTTTTTTTTTTTTTTTTTTTTGAGGCAGAGTTTCGCCCTTGTTGCCCAGGCTGCAGTGCAATGGTGTGCGATACTGGCTCACTGCAACCTCCGCCTCCCGGGCCCGGGTTCAAGTGATTCTCCTGCTTCAGTCTCCCAAGTAGCTAGCTGGGACTACAGGTGTACACCATGGTGCCTGGCTAATTTTTTATTTTTAGTAGAGATGGCGTTTCACCATGTTGGTCAAGCTGGTCTCGAACTCCCGACCTCAAGTGATCCACCCACCTCGGCCTCCCAAAGTGCTGGGATTACAGGCGTGGGCCACCTTGCCTGGCCTTGTTTGGATTGTTTTAGAATGTAAAATTGGGCTGGGCACAATGGCTCACGCCTGTAATCTCAGCACTTTGGGAGGTCAAGGTGGGTGGATCCCTTGAGCCCAGGGGTTTGAGAGCAGTCTGGGTAATATGGTGAAACCCCATCTCTAAAAAAATGCAAAAATTAGCTGGGTGTGGTGGCTCCATCTGTAGTCTCAGATACTCAAGAGGCTACAATGGGAGGATCACTTGAGCCTGGGAGGTGGAGACTGCACTTAGCTGAGATTGCGCCACTGCACTCCAACCTGGGTAACAGAGCGAGACGCTGTCTCAAGAAGAAGAAATAAATGAATATGAAATTGAAGGCAGGCATGGTGGTTCACGCCTGCAGTCCTAGCCTTTTGGTAGGCCAAGTCAGGAGGGCTGCTTGAGGCCAGGAGTTCCAGATCAGCTTGGGAAACATAATGAGACCCCATTTATTTGAATAGTAAAAAATTAGCTGAGTATGGTGGCGCATGCCTGTAGTGCTAGCTACTGGGGAGACTGAAGTGGGAAGATAGAGCTCGGGAGGTGGAGGCTGCAGTAAGCTAGGATCACCCCACTGCACTCCAGCCTGAGTGATAGAGCAAGACCCTGTCTCAAAAAGAAAAAAAAAATGTGAAATTGAGCATATATTTGAAAGAAGCCACTACCACAGTGGTTCTCAAACTTGGCCTTTGTCAAAATCACCTGAAGGGCTGACTAAAACCACTTTCTGTGCCCCACGCTTAGAGTTTCTGACTCAGTGAGTATGGGGTAGTGCCTGGGAATTTGCATTTCCAATAGATTCCCAGGTGATGCTGATGCTACTGGCCTGGGATCACACTTAGAGAACCACTGCTCTAGAACAAAACAAATTCAAGTTATTTTTGAGATGAAGAGGGGACGAATTTGAAGGACAGAAAGTCTCAGATGAGGCAGGTCCAGAGGGAATAAGAAGGTGCAGCTGAAGGGAGTTAATCTTTGCAAGGAGAAGTGCTTCCCTCTTACAGAAGAGAGAAAGAAAAGAGTTGATAAGACGCTAAAAGGTTTTGAGGTGAAAGAGAGGCATATTTAAGGGAGTCACCTAAGTTGGACTTTGAGACACAGCTTTAAATCAAATAGATCTGTGTCCAAATCCTGGTTCAGCAGTCACACTCACATTCCAAGTTGTATAACTTCTCCAAGCCTTAGTGCCTTTATCTTGAAATTCAGGATAACCGAACAGCACTTAGCCTGTAGGTTGTTGTGAAGATTGAGTGATGAGCTAGTACTGCTTCCTGTTAGTGAGCAGAGAGAGCGAGCCTGGGAAACAAAAAGACAAAGAACAGAGTGACCTTGACTGTAGCAGTGGGGGAGGTGGGAAAGTTAACTGTGAACTTTCACTGGATACCTGTAATTTGCTGAGCATTAGACTTGGCCCTGGGGATGAAAAGGGCAAGGCTTTGGTCTTCAGGGATGGAAGGAGATGCAGAGAAAGTGAACATGTACAGTACGACACAAATGCTTTACCACAAACATGAAACGTAGTATTGTATACAAAGTACTGTTAGAGCATTAGGGATAGAATAAGGAATTTGACCAGCAGTAGGATAAGTGGTTGGAGAGAAAACACTGCAGAGTTGATGTTTGAGCTAAATGAAGCTTGTCCAGCCTGCGGCCGAGATGGCTTTGAATGCAGCCCAACACAAATTCATAAACTTTCTTAAAACACTATGAGATTTATGCATGGACCTTTTTTTTTTTTTAAGCTCATCAGCTACTATTATTGTTAGCTTATTTTATTTGTGGCCCAAGACAGTTTTTTTTTTTTTTAAGACAGAGTCTCATTCTGTCACCCATGCTTGAATGCAATGGCGTGATCTCAGCTCACTGCAACCTCTACCTCCCAGGTTGAAGCAGTTTTCCTCCTTCAGCCTCCCGAGTAGCTGAGATTACAGGAGCCCACCACCACGCCCAGCTAATTTTTTGTATTTTTAGTAGAGAGAGGGTTTCACCATGTTGGCCAGGCTGGTCTCGAACTCCTGACCTCGTGATCCACCTGCCTCAGCTTCCCAAAGTGCTGGGATTACAGGTGTGAGCCACCATGCCTGGCAGTTTTTCTTCTTTCAGTGTGGCCCAGGGAAGCCAAAAGATTGGACACCCCGAGCTAAATCTTAAAACATTAGTAGGAGGTGGCCGGTCGCGGTGGCTCATGCCTGTAATCCCAGCACTTTTGGAGGCCGAGGCAGGTGGATCACGAGGTCAGGAGATGGAGACCATCCTGGCTAACACGGTGAAACCCCATCTCTACTAAAAATACAAAAAATTGGCCGGGTGTGGTGGCGGGCGCCTGTGGTCCCAGCTGCTCGGGAGGCTGAGGCGGGGGAGTGGCGTCAACCTGGGAGGCCGAGCTTGCAGTTAGCTGAGATCATGCCACTGCACTCCAGCCTGGGCCTGGGCGACAGACAGAGCGGGACTCTGTCTCAAAAAAAAAAAAAAAAATTAGGCGGTCACCAGCCTGGAAGTATATTCTCAGTCCTGAAAGACATTCAGTTTAAGTTGGGGCCCCAAGGGAATGGCAGGGAATTCAACAGAGAAGTTAATTGGGAATCAGATCAAACAGGCCTTTATGTGCCAGGTTAAGGAGTTTGAACTTTATCTGTAAGTAATGGGGAAATAAGACACTTAAAATGGTGCAGATATGTGTTTTATAGCGGTCACACGGATAACATCATAAAGGGTGTGTTAGATCCGAGAGAGAATAGAAACAGAAGTCAGCATGAAGTTATTTCTGTCATCTAGGATAAAAAATGACTTGAACTAACATGGGCGTAGTATGGAGGTATCTCACTGGAGAGAGATTTAGAAGGGCGAATCAGAACTCAATGCCTGGTCATCGGAGAGGACAAGGATTGACCCATGCACTGAGACAGGGTGCATGAGAGCAAGGTGTGGATTTGGGGAGGAAGGCAAAGAACCCAGCTCGGACTGGGTTTACAGTAAACCCAGCTGGGATTACAGGCGTGCGCCACCACGCCTGGCTAATTTTTGTATTTTTAGTAGAGACAGGGTTTTTACCATATTGGTCTTGAACTCCTGAGCTCAAGGAACCACCCACCCGCAGCCTCCCAAAGTGCTGGGATTACAGGCTGAGCCACTGTGCCCGGCTGTGAGTTTGGAATAATGACTTGCACTCTATTTACTGTTAATTTATATACAGCCTGTACAGAGCAGTGTCTGCTGTATAGGAGGACTTTGGTGAATGAGTACTCTATGAGCCCCTGAGAGCGTCTCCTTGTTCAGAGTAAAAGTTGGTATTAGAATTATAGCAATGTGGGTCAAGTGAGGTTGCTCACACCTGTAATCCCAGCACTTTGGGAGGCCAAGGCGGGCAGACTGCTTGAGGTCAGGAGTTCAAGACCAGCCTGACCAACATGGTGAAACCCCGTCTCTACTAAAAATACAAAAATTAGCCAGGCATGGTGGCGGGTGCCTGTCATCCCAGCTACTCGGGAGGCTGAGGCAGGAGAATCACTCGAACCTGGGAGGCGGAGGTTGCAGTGAGCCGGCATGGTGCCACTGGACTCCAGCCTGGGTGACAGAGTGAGACTCCTCTCAAAAAAAAAAAGAAGTATAGCAATGTGGAGTTTTAAAGCCAATGGAACTCTAGATCATCTAACCCAGCCATCTTCAGGTTCTAAATGGGTTATGTCTTAACGTCACACATCCAGTTAGCAATCGCCTGCATTGTTCTCATGTCTACCAAGCAACCTTCTGAGCCTCACTGGTTTCCCAAATTGGTTTTTCTCTAGTGAAGAGAATATACTGACTGCCTGCCAAGCACAAGAATCAATCTATTTAACAATTTTGTTTCTCAGTGAATTCTAACTTTGCTTATCCTGCAGGAAGAGATTGTATTGTTAAATACTTACATAGCTTTGCTTTAAAAAAATCTCTTTAAAAACTTTCCATCGAAAAAGGTGATGGTTATATGCACATAGAACTATACACATGCATTATACTGATATCAGATTCCTGGGTTTGATATTGTGCTGTAATTACGTAAAACACAGTCATTGGGAGAAACTGGGTGAAGGGTGCACAGGACCTCTCTGTACTATCTTTGCAATTTCCTGTGAATGTATAATTATTTCAAAAACGTTTAAATTTAAAAAGATGATGTGAAAACGTTTAGGCACCAAACTACAGAGTTTTCTGGAAAATACCGGAACTGGAACTTACCTTCTCTATGTCCTCGACAAGTGGATTCAGTGACAGGAATGGAGCTTATAGGGATCTTTAGTTCTTATCATGCTGAGTGGTTTGTATTCTAAATCAGTGACTATTCCAAACTAGTAAGACAAATAATGTCTTTAAAAGTGGGAATTTTACTAGCAGGAATTTTAGAACGTTTAGACAGTTCTCTGATTTTTTTTTCTTTTTCTTTTCTTTTTTTTTTTTTTAATAGGGTCTTTCTCTGTCCCCTAGGCTGGAGTGCAGTGGCACGATCATGGCTCACCGCAGTCTCCCTCCTGGGCTCAAGTGTTCCTCTCACCTCAACCTCCCAAATAGCTGGGACTACAGATATGCCCCACTGTGCCTGGCTAATTATTTATTTTTTTTAGAAATGGCGTCTCACTGTGTTGCCCAGGCTGGTCTTGAACTCCTGGGTTCAAGTGATCCTCCTGCCTTATCCTCCCAAAGTGCTAGGATTACAGGCGTGAGCCACCACACCCGACCATTTTTTTTTCTTTTTTAAAAATATTTTACTGGCCCAGCGCGGTGGCTCACACCTATAATCCCAGCACTTTGGGAGACCAAGGTGGGCAGATCACTTGAGGTCAGGAGTTCAAGACCAGCCTCGCCAACATGGTGAAACCCCGTCTCTACTCAAAATACAAAAATTAGCCAGGCATGGTGGCGCACGCCTGTCATCCCAGCTACCCGGGAGGCTGAGGCAGGAGAATAGCTTGAACCTGCAGAGGTTGCAGTGAGCTGAGATCGTGCCACTGCACTCCAACTGGGGCAACAGAGCAAGACTCCGACTCAAAAAAAAAAAAATTACAAAGATTGTTTGTGGCGCTGGTATGTGGGATTTCCTCACAGCACAGTTCATTTTTCTGGTAATGACAGCTGCTGGGTATCTGCGCTTCACGAAGGTGCTCCTATTTGTACGGTTTGAAACTGACTCACTCTGTCCTGCTGCTGGTGTTTGACATGCAAGCTTCTCTTTCGGCATCACTCTCGGAAGTGGGATCAATTCACCAAGTCTGTTCTGACAAAGGGAGTCTGTCGGCAGCAGACCCCAGCATTCAGAAGGGATCCTTCTTGAGACATCAAACCTCAGGAAACCTTGTGTAATTTTCTCAGTTTCAGTGGCAATAAAACAGGAACAATGATGCTCATCCTCTAGGGTTGTTTTGAAGGTTGAGTGAGATCCTGAATTCACTGGGAATAATAGGTTAAGAATGATTAACTGGGAATACATCATAAGTAACTGGAAATGAGGGGTCAGCAAGCACATGACTTAAGTCAGGACTTCTTCCTACAGCACTTGGTTCAGATTTGTGCTTTATCAAATTAACAAGTTGCTACTTGACATGGATTTCCCTTCCTCAAGTCACTGAAAACTTGAGTGTTTCATGAAATGGACCTACTTTACCTGAAGAGAGGGTCAGGGCTCCCGAGTGTCCTGTGGACATACAGGGACTGGGAGAGAAATGTTGACCATGGGATTGGGTTGGAATTGCCAATAGTTAACAATTATTGCCTTAAAAACTTCTGATGTTGTAAGTCCTACCCTCACGTGGAGTCCCAGTGAGCCACGCTGGTGGAGTCCCTCTGACTCTGATGAGGAACACAGGTTGGGAGGGCAGGATCTCAACACATGGTTAAAATAATTCAAGTGAGAGATATGTGTGTTAATGAATGGAGAGAAGTGGGTGGGTTCAAGAAATATTAAGGAGGTAGACTCTACAGGACTTGGGTACCAGTTGTATGTAGGGACTAAGGAGGAGCGGGAGGGAGGCTGGTTTCTGGTTTATGTGACAGGGCGGCTGGTAGTGACAGTCTTATGTGGGAACAGAGGAAAGGAAACAGGACTGGGGAGAGGCTGGCCTCAGCTTTGGACAGATGTCATCTGAGTCATCACTCAAGTGGACAGGGGCTCAGTAGGTCTTCGGATAGACAGAAGTAAGAGCTCTGCAGAGGTGGGGCATCAGATGGCACATTTATTCACAGACACTTATCAAGTGCTGGGCACTGTCGAAGGCACTGGGGTCTCTGCTTGGCATTCTAGTGTCGGGTTAGGCCCTGACACTAGATGAGTGCCTCTGGTGAGGGGATCAGCAAGAAAGTACTATGGTGTGGGTGGTAGGTGATGTGGATGATGGAGGAGATAAGCCACCTGAATTAGAAGCTGAGTCATCCCCAGAAAAGTTAGAGGGAAGAGGTGCTCTGGGCAAAGAGAAGAGCAGGTGCAGAGGCCCCAGGCAGCACTGAGCAGGCACATTTGAGAAGCTATAAGCTGTAAGCCAGCCGCATGACCCCAGCATGCTGCACAGCAGGGAGGGCTATGAGGGAAGTTGGAAGGGACAAGGGCTGAGTGGATCAGCGTTTGGTTCCCAGACAGTTGGGTTTATTTGAGTGTGATGTTCAGTCATGGGAATTTGAAGGCATGGGAATGTGTGAAATCTCTCAGGTAGACTATGTAGAGTAAAAGGGGGAGAGGACTGTACTATTTGATAGAAGGGCAGGAGAAGGGGAGACTTCTCAAAGGATACTAGAAACAACCAACCATAAAAGCAGAAGAGGATACAAGAAAAGTGGTAAAGAAAAAGGGAACTTTAAAGATGGAAGCAGGCCGGGCGCAGTGGCTCATGCCTGTAATCCCAGCACTTTGGGAGGCCGAGGTGGGCAGATCACAAGGTCAGGAGATCGAGACCATCCTGGCTAACACAGTGAAACCCCGTCTCTACTAAAAATACAAAAACAAAGTTAGCCGGGCGTGGTGGCAGGCGCCTGTAGTCCAGCTACTTGGGAGGCTGAGGCAGGAGAATGGCATGAACCCGGGAGGTGGAGCTTGCAGTGAGCCGAGATCGCGCCACTGCACTCCAGCCTGGGTGACAGAGCGAGTCTCCGTCTCAAAAAAAAGATGGAAGGAGGCCAGGTGCAATGGCTCACACCTGTAATCCCAGCACTTTAGGAGGCTGAGGCAGGAGGGTCGCTTCGGCCCAGGAGTTTGAGACTAGCCTGGACAACATAGTGAGACTCCTGTCTCCACAAAAGCAAAAAAATTAGCCAGTTATGGTGGTTCATGCCTGTGGTCCCAGCTACTCAGGAGGCTGAGGCGGGAGGATCACTTGAGCCCAGGAGTTTGAGGCTGCCATGAGCCTTGATCATCACCCATTGTACTCCAGCATGGGTGACAGAGTGAGACCCTGTCTCTTAAAAAAAATTAATAAAGGGCTGGGTGAGGTGCCTCACACCTGTAATCCCAGCACTTTGGGAGGCCGAGGTGAGCGGATCACCTGAGGTCAGGAGTTTGAGACCAGCTGGCCAACATGGCGAAACCCCATCTCTACTAAAAATACAAAATTAGCTGGACATGGTGGTGCACGCCTGTAATCCCCGCTGCTCGAGAGACTGAGGCAGGAGAGTCACTTGAACCTGGGAGGCAGAGGTTGCAGTGAGCCGAGATTGCACCATTGCACTCCAGCCTGGGCAACAAGAGTGAAACTCCGTCTCAATAATAATAATAAAGATGAATTATTAAGTGGCAGATGATAAGAGGGAGAGGAAGGGAGTGCAGGGAGAGAGGGAAAGGAAGGACTGAAAATATGGCCTATGTGTAACAGTAGGAAGATCATTGCTGGCCTTGGAGAAAGCAGTTCTCAACTCCTCCCTTCCTTTTCCCCACATCCCATTGATTTCCAGATTGGCCAGGAATGTAATCCATATTGCCATAGATCAAGGTGCTGGCTCTAAGGGGTGGGAACTGGTGGAGTTTGGCTGACAGGAAGATGATAGAAGAGGTAAAAAAGAGGAGGCAGGAGGAAAAGCAAATTTCCTGATGAGTAGGGCTAGAAAGGGGCATTGGCTGCCAGTGTGTAAGGAGCACTCATGAAAGAACCACGCGTGTCTTCAGCAGCTGTGTCTGTCAGCTCAGAGTGGAAGCATGTAGGTATTGTCATTTTTTGGTGAGTTTGGCCACAAAGCATTCTGGGAGTGCAGCGGTGGGTGGTTGAAGAAGGAGGAAGTGGAGATAGGCAAAGGATTATCCTTCCTATAAGGCTAGTGCATGGTGGGTGAGAGACTGACAGGATGCTGCTTAGGAGTCCAAAAGGTGTGGCCAGCTCCAGCTTGATTCAGAGCAGTGGTGGTATCCTGGAGCTCCTCTCCCAGAGCAGAGGATGGCAGGTGGCGCCTGGAGAGTGTGGCCTCCCAGCGAGGGAGCTGGCACAGGCTAGGATGGGACTTAGGTCAGCGGGGTGTCTTGGTGGAAGGCTGAGCACACGTGGTTCTCCAGCCGACCACGAGCATCTGATCATATTATCTCCCAGGACTGGGTCCTCCTGGAACCCTGTACACTGCAGAAACTCTTCAGTAGTTACAACAGGAACCTTTGAGCTGAGCACCCAGAAGTACCAGATGTGCTGGAGCAGGCTCCTGTATTTATACGTGGCAGCCAGTCTAGTATTGCTTTATAGCACCTTCTGTGTCTGTTCTTACATAACTTTTAATCTGTTCAGGCTGTTTGCCCATCTCTATTGTGATTCTTTGAGTTCAGGCTCCAAGGCTCACTCATCCTTGCCCTGCATATCAGACACTCCTGCAAATGCTCAGGGCTTAAAAATCTGCCGGGGCCACCACATTACACACTCCTATCCCCGTCTACGTTATTCCAGTTAAATTTTGTGAGTAGTTGACAAAATGCCCTACTGTTTCCTTTGGTTAAAAGCAATAGGTATTACAAAATTCAGTTGTTACATTGGAACTTGTCTGCAGCTGTTTGCATGTGAATATTGAATGAGGGAGTGGTAGCTTTTGTAATTGTTAGGGCAAAGAAAGATTCTGTTTCTAATCTGAGACAACCAGCTGACTCATCAAGTGCCTTGACCCTTTAGATTTCCATCTTTCTTTTTCCCCTAGGAAGATGGAAAACTGAGCTCCCAGGTTTACAGATAGCCCAGACCTGGCACTGTGGAACAAAAGAAAATGGTAGAAAAGATGAAAATCAAGGAAATGTTAGCAACTAATTTTTATTTCCTCTGACCATTTAAATGGGTATGAATTTACCTTCCACAAGGAAAACTTTTCAAATAATGGCTTTTTATAAAGGGTCTATTTTATGTGCGTGGTTCCCTTCCACCCCTAGGTGGCAGGAGAAAGCAGAAGAACCTGCATGAAAGTAAAGCAAACGTCCTGCAGCTGTGGGGCGGTGTTCTGAATCCTAGGATTGTTGCTTACCTCTGCCCTGCAGTTCCATTTGTCAGGCATTCCTGCGATTTTTTTTTTTTTTCAGACCGACTTAGTTACCCATATATGGATTTTTAAAAATACTGACTTGGCTAGGATTTATAGAGCACTGTGTAGTCAGCTTTAACAGTTAAGAAATAAGCAAATCTTGATGTGGGGAAAAGAAGAACAGGAACATTAGAATTGGGGATTAGAGGTTGAGAAAATGGTCCTCCCTGGTGTCCAGTGGGTAATCTGCTGTTGAGAACTGATGCCCGTGGAGTTGCCCCAGGCAGGACGCCCAGGCCAGGGCACTTCACCTGGGCCCCTGGGGTTGGTGTGGAGAGTCAGGTGGCCTTTCTCTGCAGCCGGAGAAGCTAGCACAGGGGGCTCCCCGTCTCCTCTGAATCCTGTCTAAAGATAATAATGAGGGCTGTTACTTGGAACATTTTCTAATAACATGCTATAGATGCTTAGGGTTTATGGGAAGGGGGGATGGTACTGGGGGTGGGGGATAAAGGACAAAAACGTAATAAAGTAAACACAGGAAAGGAGCAGCATGTGTTTGGAAGCTGAGCATAGGCACTCCCTCTGAGCAGTGGAGTTGAGTCCTGACTGCAGCACATGCAGGTGAGGAAGCAGTAGAAGGAGTCCGTCTTCTGTCCCCTTCCCATCCCTTCTGACATGTTCTTATCTTGAAATCGCCGCCCCTGAACTCCCAGGGTACTTACTGTGTGCTGCTCTCACTCTGTAGCCCTGTCTGTGTATGTCCCATGTCCTGAAAGCCCACCCGAGGAGGAGCTGTCTTCTTTGTCTTTATGTTCCCCACAGCACTTGTCTCTGGCACAAGGCAGAATCTTAATAACTTCAGTGGCATGAATCCATCGAGGAGCAGATGGGAAGCAGAGTCACAGTGTCACACCAGACAGATTATGTTCAAGCAAATAGTCCCAATAAGAAGTAGTGAGGGGCCGGCCGGGCGCAGTGGCTCACACCTGTAATCCCAGCCCTTTGGGAGACTGAGGTGGGCAAATCACCTGAGGTCTGGAGTTCAAGACCAGTCTGACCAACATGGAGAAACCCCGTCTCTACTAAAAATACAAAATTAGCTGGGCATGGTGGCACATGCCTGTAATCCCAGCTACTCTGGAGGCTGAGGCAGGAGAATGGCTTGAACCCTGGAGGCGGAGGTTGCTGTGAGCCAAGATCACGCCATTGCACTCCAGCCTGGGCAACAAGAGCGAAACTCTGTCTCAAAAAAAAAAAAAGTGAGGGGCTGGGCACAGTGGCTCATGCCTGTAATCCCAGCACTTTGGGAGGCTGAGACGGGTGAATCACTTGAGGCCAGGAGTTTGTGACCAGCCTGGCCAACATGGTGAAACCCCGTCCCTACCAAAAAATACCGGAAGTTAGCCAGGCACAGTGGTGCACATCTGTAATCCCAGCTACTTGGGAGGTTGAGGCATGAGAATTGATTGAACTCAGGAGACGGAGGTTGCAGTTAGCTGAGATTGTGCCACCGCACTCCACCCAGCCTGGCGGCAGAGCAAGGCTCCATCTCAAAACATATATATATATATAATATATATATGTGTGTGTGTGTGTGTGTGTGTGTACTCTCTGGCATTTTTTTGTTGGCTCCATTCTTGGGCATACCGCCAGACGAGATGGCTGTGGGCAGCCTCATGCCTGTCTCCTGCAGAAAGAGGACTGCAGAAGCACTTTAGCTAGACATCAGTTCTGACTGGCCAGGTATAGGACCGTCAGGGAAAATGGAGGTGTGTCCCCAGAAATGGGAGTGTACACTATGCAAGCAGAACCCACTGGCGAGCATTGCAGGGACATCAGCCCTTGGCTTGTTACTGTCATAGCAGAGCAAATTCATATGTATCTTAAGTCATTCTTTTCAATGTTTTTCAGCATCTTCATGATACAGTTAAGAGGAATCTTGACAGCGCCACTTCCCCTCAGAATGGCGATCAACAGAATGGCTACGGGGACCTCTTTCCTGGGCATAAGAAGACTCGCCGGGAGGCCCCTCTGGGAGTTGCCATCTCTTCCAATGGACTGCCTCCAGCCTCCCCCCTCGGTCAGTCTGACAAGCCTTCTGGAGCCGACGCCCTGCAGTCCAGTGGGAAGCACTCTCTGGGGCTAGACTCTCTCAACAAAAAGCGTCTGGCTGACTCCAGCCTTCACTTGAATGGAGGCAGTAACCCCAGTGAGTCATTTCCTCTGAGCCTGAATAAAGAACTGAAGCAGGAGCCTGTCGAAGACCTGCCTTGCATGATCACTGGGACTGTCGGCTCCATATCGCAAAGCAACCTCATGCCAGACCTCAACCTTAACGAGCAGGAGTGGAAGGAGCTCATCGAGGAGCTGAACAGGTCGGTGCCCGATGAAGACATGAAGGACCTGTTTAATGAGGACTTCGAGGAGAAGAAGGACCCAGAGTCTTCTGGCTCTGCCACACAAACCCCCTTGGCACAGGACATTAATATTAAGACGGAATTCTCTCCAGCAGCCTTTGAGCAAGAACAGTTAGGCTCTCCACAAGTGAGGGCCGGGTCTGCAGGGCAGACCTTTCTGGGGCCTTCCTCTGCCCCTGTGAGTACAGATTCCCCCAGCCTAGGGGGCTCCCAAACCTTATTCCACACCTCTGGTCAGCCCCGGGCGGACAATCCCAGTCCAAACCTGATGCCGGCATCAGCCCAGGCCCAGAACGCACAAAGAGCCCTTGCAGGTGTGGTATTGCCCAGTCAGGGCCCAGGAGGGGCCTCAGAGCTGTCCTCTGCCCACCAGCTCCAGCAGATCGCTGCCAAGCAGAAGCGCGAGCAGATGCTCCAGAACCCACAGCAGGCCACCCCGGCACCAGCCCCGGGCCAGATGTCCACATGGCAGCAGACGGGGCCCTCCCACAGTTCCTTAGATGTCCCTTACCCCATGGAGAAGCCTGCCAGCCCTTCCAGCTACAAGCAAGACTTCACTAACTCCAAACTGCTCATGATGCCTAGTGTGAATAAGAGTTCCCCTCGGCCCGGAGGCCCCTACCTCCAGCCCAGCCATGTGAACCTGCTGAGTCACCAGCCACCGAGTAACTTGAATCAGAACTCCGCGAATAACCAGGGGTCTGTGCTGGACTACGGCAATACAAAACCCCTTTCTCATTACAAAGCGGACTGTGGGCAAGGCAGCCCGGGGTCTGGCCAGAGCAAGCCAGCCCTGATGGCTTATCTTCCCCAGCAGCTGTCCCATATAAGTCACGAGCAGAACTCCCTGTTTCTGATGAAGCCAAAGCCAGGAAATATGCCTTTCCGATCACTGGTTCCACCTGGCCAGGTAAGTATGAGCCTTTGCTTTCTGTTCCTCTGCTGCAGACACTTCAGTGAGGTTACTCACTACTTTGGATGTTAATTGGATCCGAGGTAGTTGTGGGAAGAGGGAGGAGGGAATAGCTGCTGTCATCCTTGCTCCTCTTGGGAGTGGAAATTTATAAAATAAACCAGGGTTGATTGTTAATAAAAAATAGGGTAAAGTTCCCTGGCATAGCTTGATTATTAACTGCACGAAGGTTTCAGGAATCACCTGCATTTAGTCCACTGTCTCTTTCGTGCCGTAGGATTTAAATTAAGTAATTTGCGACTGTGTTTTGCAGATAAACATTACGTTTCACGTGCTTCTTAGAGGCTTGGCTTTTTTTTTTTTTTTTTTTTTTTACTACCTTTCAGATCTCCATGTACAAAATTCCCTAATTTTTGGTAAGCTTATAACATTGTAGGCATGTGCTGCTTCCCAGCACAGCTCAGCTCTGTGCTTACTTCATCATGGTTCTAAAGCCCGGTAGCATCAAATGGAAAATGGCCCTTCGGGTTGTTTCCTGTTTTCCGCTAGTGCAGATAAGCCTGCAGTGAACGTGAATTTGTAATACATGCTAAAATTTTGCAAATTAAAAAGCCCAGTGCCGGTAATATCATGAGGAAATAGACACACTCCTGTATTGATGAGAGTGTGTAAATGAGCTCACTGCTTTTGGGAAGTCATTTGACATTATGTATTTTTCACATGCTGTAAAATGTTCATATGCATTGACACACTATATACCCGACAAGTTGATCTAAAGAAATAATCCAAAATAAAAGAAAAAGTTATATCCAAGATATTCATTGTGTGGTTATTTCTAATAGCCAAAAACTGTAAGCCATTTAAGCATCTCCCAGTGCTGATAATTCCACTTACTTCAGCCAGTAAGATGTCTCACGCCGTTCAGCACCCCCTGAAGAGAGGCTCAGCTGCACACAGTGAGGGTGCTTGCCATCTGGGTAGCACTTTGCAACTTACGAAGCACTCTCAGTAGTTCTTAAGCTTCTGGTGATTAGAGTGAAGAAATTATACCAGAATCTTAGAATGAATAACTAGAAAGGAGCTCAACAATTTGAACTGGTTTAAATAATGATTGCTTTTTGCCTATCTTCTGCTAAGTTCCCCTTTTCTTCTAAGTGTCAGTAATGACGGGATA
Organism: Homo sapiens; assembly: GCF_000001405.40. Taxonomy (NCBI): domain Eukaryota; kingdom Metazoa; phylum Chordata; class Mammalia; order Primates; family Hominidae; genus Homo; species Homo sapiens. The sequence continues at coordinate 179,767,919 of NC_000005.10, forward strand.
ATATTGTGGTGGCCTTTGACATGACTCTCACTTGTGGTCTATATATTGACAGAGAATATCTGTTAAAGTTCTCATTGATTCTCAGTATTTTTTGAGGATGGGTATTTGACAAAAGCTAAGCAGTCTCTTCCAGTAAAATGCTTGCGCAGATGTACAGTTTCGGGTCGTTCAGGGATAGCCCGAAATCCAAGGTTTATGCACATGGGACAGAGTGGTCTCCATTGACCAAAGCCCCCTTCAAAGTGTTCTTCCCCTAGGCCGGGTGCAGTGGCTCATGCCTGTAATCCCAGCACTTTGAGAGGCCGAGGTGGGTGGAGCACCTGAGGTCGGGAGTTCGAGACCAGCGTGACCAACATGGAGAAACCCCCATCTCTACTAAAAATACAAAATTAGCCAGGTGTGGTGGCACATGCCTCTAATCCCAGCTACTCAGGAGGCTGAGGCAGGGGAATCGCTTGAATTCGGGAGGCAGAGGTTGCGGTGAGCCAAGATCGTGCCATTGCACTCCAGCCTGGGCAACAAGAGCGAAACTCCGTCTGAAAAAAAACAAAAAGTATTCTTCCCCTATTGGCCCGCTCTGCACTCAGATGTCCTGATAAGTGAGCATTTCTAAGCCTCGATTGCTTACTGGAACTATTGTGTGCAAATATGAAAGCTTACATATGCTTAACGTAAAACCATACCTTTGTCACTGGTGAATCACTGGGAGTAAAACTAACACCTATGGAGTAATTGTTCGTTGCTAGGCGCCTGTATGCTCAGATGTCATCACTTTTGGTCTGTGCTCCAGCCCTGTGGGATGGTTGTTATTCGAGGTCAGAAGGGAAGCAGAGACTTGGCTTCAAGAGAGTGAACCTTGAATTCACTGGATGGAGCTTATTTGGTCTGATCAGAGCTTAGAGACTTCACAGTCCCCTATCTGTGTTGACAGGAGCAGAACCCTTCCAGTGTCCCTGTGCAAGCCCAGGCTACCAGTGTTGGGACCCAGCCGCCTGCCGTGTCCGTGGCCAGCTCCCACAACAGCTCCCCCTATCTCAGCAGCCAGCAACAGGCCGCTGTAATGAAGCAGCATCAGTTGCTTTTGGACCAACAGAAACAAAGGGAGCAGCAGCAAAAGCATTTACAGCAACAGCAGTTCCTTCAGAGGCAACAGCACCTTCTCGCGGAACAGGTAAAAAGAAAAGTGGAAGGAAACCACCGCTTCCCACCTTTGCCTGCACCCTGCGTCACTGCTACAGTCACACCTTCTGCTTGTGCGTGTGGATTTGCGCAGACTTGCGTGCCTGTTGTTAGAGTGCTTTGCCTTTTAAAAACATCTTTCCAGGAATGTGGCATTTCTCAGACAGGGGTAGTCTTGTCAGAAGCTGCTTCGTGTCACTTAGTGGAGAGTACTCAAGGCAGACTCGGGGGCTAAAACTGTTTGTGGAAGGGACATTTTCCTATGTTTCAGGTCAGCAGCTTCCAAGCCACTGAGCTCACGTGTCTGTCATTCCACTATGGAGTCAGCTTTGCTGCCACTACAGAGCCTGTTATAAGCCAGAACGTGAAGAGGGAAGTGAAGTCATCCCTGAGGGAAACACAGTTCACTCGCTTGGTTAGCAAGTGTAGTGTGCAGGCACTAAGGGTTACAAGTGAGAGTTCTTTTTTTTTTTTGGAGACAGAGTCTTGCTGTCACCCAGGCTGGACTGCAGTGGTGCGATCTTGGCTCACTGCAGCCTCCACCTCATGGGTTCATGCAATTCTCCTGCCTCAGCCTCCCGAGTAGCTGGGACTACAGGCAAGAACCACCATGCCTGGCTAATTTTTGTGTTTTTAGTAGAGATGGGGTTTCACCACGTTGGCCAGGCTGGTCTTGAGCTCCTGACCTCAAGTGATCCACTCATCTCGGCCTCCCAAAGTGCTGAGATTACAGGCGTGAGCCACCACGCCTGGCCTTAAATTACATCTTTAAGACATAAGAACTGGCTCCAGACAGTGAGGTTCATTGAGGACAATCCCTGCCTCAGTTCTGCCTTTAAGAAAAGCAGCTTTATTGTGATGTAACTCACACAGCATACACTTCACCCACGTAAGTGAACAATTTAGTCATTTTTAGTATATCACAGAGTTGTGCAACCATTACCACAATCCATTTTAGAACATTTTCATTACCCTAAAACAAATCCCATACCCATGAGCAGCCATTCTCCCATCCACCCTGCCTCTCCAGCTCCTGATCTACTTTCTGTCTCTATAATTGTCTGCTCTGGGCTGGGCGCAGTGGCTCACTCCTATAATCCCAGCACTTTGGGAGGCCGAGGTGGGCGGATCACGAGGTCAGGAGATCAAGACCATCCTGGCTAACACAGTGAAACCCCGTCTCTACTAAAAATACAAAAAATTAGCCAAGTGTGGTGACGGGCGCCTGTAGTCCCAGCTACTCGGGAGGCCGAGGCAGGAGAATGGCGTGAACCTGGGAGGGGAGCTTGCAGTGAGCAGAGATCGCGCCACTGCACTCCAGCCTGGGCGACAGAGCAAGACTCCATCTCAAAAAAAAAAAATTGTCTGTTCTGGACATTTTATATTTATGTTATGTCATTTTCAATCATGTGCTAGGTAACAGCAATTGATTCCTCTTGATAATAATATTCCATTGTATGGACATGTTACATTTTATTCATTCGTCTGTTCATGAACATTTGGGTTTCTTGTTTGGGCTGTTAATGAGTATTGCTGCTATGAACATTCATGTACAAGTTTTCATATAGACATCTGTTTTCATTTTTCTTGGGTAGATACCTGGGAGTGGAATTGCTGGATCACATGGTAATTTTTATGTTTAACCTTTGGAGGAACTGTCAGACTGTTTCCCACAGGCTGTCTCATTTTACATTCCCACCAGCGGTGTATGAGGGTGCTGATTTCTCTACATCCTCACCAACCACTTGTTATCATCTGACTTTGATTCTGGCCATCCTAGTGGGATCTCATTGTAGCTGTGATTTGCATTTTCCTAACCAGCTCTCCATTTTTTAAAAACAGGTATACCTACCTTTTAAAAAAGTCATTGCTCCCTAGATCTGTTTCATACTATTTAAAAACCCCAAAATGAAATCAGCACTATTTCCACAGGAGCCCATTTGTGAGTAACAAACTTGGATAAGTTACTTTTCTCTGACCTCCCTCACTCCCTTTGTTTTGGATTTTGTTATATGTTGGTTTTGTTTTGTTGTTCTTGGCATTTTCTAGGAGAAGCAACAGTTTCAGCGCCATCTGACCCGCCCACCACCCCAGTACCAAGACCCGACACAAGGCAGCTTCCCACAGCAGGTTGGACAGTTCACAGGTAGGGGGTGTCTGTGTGACGAGCAGGGACAGGGGAGGCCGCTGCCTGGTGCTGGTTGAATCCCTGCTGTCTGCCCAGCTCTATGCCTTGACTTCATCAGGCTGCATGCATTGTCATCATATACACCTCAGTTTGCCTAAGGGGCCTGGTTTTCTAGTTACTCCACGGCATCAGGAGAAGAGGGCACAGAGGCAAACCACTAGAACTACCTTTGCTGGGTCCCTGGCTGTACAGTTTTCTGAAGCAAAATCATTTCTAGTTGGAGGACATCTTATCAGCAGGAAATAGCTTCTGTAATTCTCAAGAAAGTTCTTTGCTTCTGCTTTTATGTGTCTTCAAAAAATGACTCCTATCTTCCAGATAAGGACTTAATGCACTTGCGTGGCCTTTGGCTTCTTTCTCTCCTCCTGTCTGCTCACTTGAATATCACAGATGGCAGCATCACTAGTGGACAGTTGGCCAGAAAAGGGCAGGAAGCACACTTGAGTCTAGCTGTCGCCTCTGAGATGTGCCAGGGAACTTCATAGGCCATCCCTCCAGAAATGCACAAAGATTTCAGGGAATGGATACAGGAAGCTCTGGTCTGCCCGCCTTCCTAGCTCCTCTCAGAATGTCTTAGAAACCTCTGTTTTTCCTTATTTGGGACCTTGCTATAAAGGGTCCCAGAGAGACTGACCACAGCTGTGTGTCCTGGAGGAGACCAGGTACGGTTTTATGTATGTGCTACCTGGGGTCAACGTGGGGTTGAAATCTGCAGGCATTTCAGAAGCATGGGTCTGACCCATGTTTTCTGCCTTCAGACCCATCTGACATTTTGTGGATTATTGATGGGAATGAAATAGCCGGTTTCAGCTCTCCTCTTTTCCTCAACCCAATTTCATTGTTGTTGTTTTGAAACAGAGTCTTGGTCTGTCGCCCAGGCTGCAGTGCAGTGGCACGATCTTGGCTCACTACAACCTCCACCTCCTAGGTTCAAGCGATTCTCCTGCCTCAGCCTCCCAAGCAGCTGGGATTACAGGCGCCTGCCACCACGCCCGGCTCATTTTTGTATTTTTAGTAGAGATGGGCTTTCACCATGTTAGCCAGGCTGATCTCACATACCTGACCTCGTGATCTGCCCGCCTTGGCCTCCCAAAGTGCTAGGATTACAGGTGTGAGCTACCGTGCCCGGCCCCAATTTTTATTATATGGTTGCTAGTAGAGAGGAAGAAGAACAAAGCACTGAGTTACGGCCAATCCCTGAACAATGACTCTCCTACCCACAAAACCTAATTCAGTTAATGGTGTTGTCATATGTCCATTGCTTAAGCCAGGAGGCCTAGACAGCAGTTCCCTGAGCATAGGGGTGCTTTCTCTTCCACCCTCTGCTGTCTCTCCAGCACAGCACCTGCCACAGAGTGGGTACTCAGTGAAGATCTGGTAATTTCCTGCGACTCCTCCCTCCTTTGGCCACCTTGTCATTTCATAGTATAAATGGTGTGCCATAAGATGGTATATTGTCTGGTGAGATGTTGTCACACAGTTCTGCACCTCCACCCCCCATTCCCACATGGTCTGCCCTCCCTCATCTCCGTGACTGAACAGCCTCTCCCCAGCATGGTCTCAGCCACACTCTCAGTCCAGCCACTCTTGGGCTTTACAACCCTGTTCTTTGTTTGTTTGTTTGAGACAGAGTCTTGCTCTTTCGCCTAGGCTGGAGTGCAGTGGCATGATCTCGGCTCACTGCAGCCTCCGCCTCCCGGATTCAAGCAATTCTCCTGCCTCAGCCTCCCGAGTAGCTGGGGGCGCGCGCCGCCACGCCTGGCTAATTTTTGTATTTTTAGTAGAGACAGGGTTTCACTATGTTGGCCAGGATGGTCTTGATCTCCTGACCTCGTGATTCGCCCGCCTCGGTCTCCCAAAGTGCTGGGATTACAGGCGTGAACCACCGCGCCCGGCCACAACCCCGTTCTTCACACGCCATCCACAGCTCTTCCCTATCTGGCCGGAACTAGCTCTTCCATTTTATCTCTAACCAGCTGGCCACTGTCTGCATATCCCGGCCACGGCCAGTCTCTGAAAGTTCCCCACACAGATGCCTTTTTCTGACTCTGCCTTTGCACACACTTGCCTGGAATGCTCTTTTTCCCCAAACTGTTAAATTGCTAAACTTCTGTGCTTTTAAACCTAGTGGATTCATCACTGTCTCTCTCAAGCCTTGCCCAAGGCTTCCCAGATGCCAGGGCTTCCAGCCTGCACCCTGCAGCCTGCTGGCCAGGCGCGCCCCATCGCGCCCCATTGCGCCCCATCGTGCCATGTGCTAACTTTGCCTCCCAGAGGCGGATCTTGCGTTGGGTCCACCTCAGAGTCCCCGGTGCCCACCACAGGGTCCCCACAGAGCAGAAATTTGGTGGGTGCTTGAAAGTTAGATGAAGTAGGTCACTGGTTTTCTCTCCCCTGGGGCTTTGCCCTTCCTCTGTGCCTTTCTGAACCCCATCATTGTTTCAGAGACCAGGCCTCCATTCCACCTGTGGAAGGCTTTCTGCCCCATGGCCCCCGGGGCCCTCTTCCCAGTGTGCCGTGAACGTGAGACTTCTGGTGCTGCGGCTCGAGTCTCAGAGGGACCCAGTGGTGGTCGACTCCTGACTGCCAGACTCTTCTCTGTCTTGTAGGGTCCTCTGCTGCCGTGCCCGGCATGAACACCTTGGGTCCATCCAACTCCAGCTGTCCTCGAGTGTTCCCTCAGGCTGGGAATCTGATGCCAATGGGCCCTGGACATGCTTCAGTTTCCTCTCTCCCCACAAACTCAGGCCAACAGGACCGGGGTGTGGCTCAGTTCCCTGGCTCCCAAAACATGCCTCAGAGCAGCCTCTATGGCATGGCTTCTGGCATAACCCAGATAGTTGCCCAGCCCCCGCCACAGGCCACCAATGGACATGCCCACATTCCACGGCAGACCAACGTGGGCCAGAACACCTCCGTCTCAGCTGCCTATGGGCAGAACTCTCTGGGAAGCTCTGGCCTCTCCCAGCAGCACAATAAGGGGACCCTGAACCCTGGTTTAACAAAGCCACCGGTCCCAAGGGTGTCACCAGCCATGGGAGGCCAGAATTCCTCCTGGCAGCATCAGGGAATGCCGAACCTCAGTGGCCAGACCCCAGGGAACAGCAACGTGAGTCCCTTCACTGCAGCCTCCAGTTTCCACATGCAGCAGCAGGCCCACCTGAAAATGTCTAGCCCGCAATTCTCCCAGGCAGTGCCCAACAGGCCCATGGCTCCCATGAGCTCAGCAGCTGCCGTGGGGTCCTTGCTACCCCCAGTGAGTGCACAGCAGAGGACCAGCGCCCCTGCCCCAGCACCACCCCCAACAGCCCCTCAGCAGGGCTTGCCTGGCCTGAGCCCAGCAGGGCCTGAGCTGGGGGCCTTCAGCCAGAGCCCTGCCTCACAGATGGGCGGTCGGGCGGGGCTGCACTGCACCCAGGCCTACCCTGTGCGGACCGCGGGCCAGGAGCTGCCTTTTGCCTATAGCGGGCAGCCAGGTGGCAGTGGGCTCTCTAGTGTGGCTGGACACACCGATCTGATCGACTCCCTGCTGAAGAACAGGACTTCAGAGGAGTGGATGAGTGATTTGGACGACCTGTTAGGGTCTCAGTAATGGAAGGATTTGTAGTGTTTTTAGTGTTCATTCATCCTATATTTTTATTCTCAGATTCAAAGAAAGAGCAACTACTTTGGACCAAAAGCCCATGGCCTGGGGAGCTGGGCAGGTAGAGCCCAAGCTCCAGGTGAGGCCTGGCCCTGGGCAGGGTCTGTGGCTGCGCCCCTCAGGCCAGCAGTTGAGGTCCATCGGGCTGGCCCCAGCCCATCTGCTGGCATCAGTACCTGGTGTTGGGACAGCAGGATAGGGTTCTAAAGGTGGTTTTCTATCCAAACGACCAAAAAACCAACAGTAACACCAGTGAAACCCCACACTGTCGGGCTTATAAAAATCTGTGCCATCATGGTGATTTTATCCAAGACTGCTCCACTTACCCCAGTGCTGGGGACAAGTTTCTGTTGAAACTTTAGATAGCAGAATTATTTGCAATTTGTAGCATAGAAAAGATTTTTAAATTTTTTTACAAAAGGTTTTTAAACAGATTAGGGTAGGTGATGGTTTAAATCAATTAAGTGGCATTGGAAACCTAGGGTTTCCTTTTGATTAAGAGCCTTTTTTGTTTCTGCTCTTTGTCAGCTTTCAGGGGAGAAGGAGGCCACTGGAAAATTATTTCCCTAAGTGCAGGCTGTTGACTGCGTATGCCAAAAAGGGACAGGAGGCATGGGATAGCAGGTCTGGTGACACAGCTAGGGTCTTCCTAGCAGCTCCTCCTCCTCCCTCCCAAGGCCCCCAGGAATCCCTTCCTCCCATGTCCTGGCAGCAGGACCCCAGGCTACATATGGAAGGTAGAGATGTGGGGGTCCTGTATCCTGGAGTATTATGTCTCCCCACCTTCTGCAGTTTTCTCTGAACATGTATGTTGCCCATGGTGGGAGCGTGGTCACTGTGCAGTTGTGCACAGATGTCTTTCCTTTACCGTTGGCCTTTCTGTCTGCCTCTCCTTCCTCTCTGCAGCCCAAATGGAAAACAATTATTTACTCCATTGGAGGGAAAGGAAGAGTCTTAGAATTCCTAAGGGAACCTTAGCATAAAGGTTTTGGGGAAGGAGGCCGTAGGCCGGCCCGGAGGAAGCAATTCCACTTGGTTTGACAACTTCTGCCACTCCCATGTCAGATGACTTGCACTTCTTAAAGAGATTGCTTTATAACACTAAGACATCCTTTCTAAAGATTCAAGTGGACTTGACTAAGCTGAGGGTCCACGAAATAGAATATGACATGTGAGCTGTTTTTGGAAAACGAAGATGGAGAGAGCACTTCCCCGTAACGAAAGCAAAGTGGTAAGCACAGGGTGAGACCCTTTTACACAGAATGGTGGAGAGAAAAGAGAATGCTGAAAAGTGGCTCAGATGCAGAGTGTTCTGTGGAGAAACTGCAGCCCCACTTCTGTTTCCCTGGAGTCTCCCAATGGATCATTCAGGAGTGTCCTATGTGAGAATTGAGCCAAGGAAAATACTCATGCAACCAGCCTGAGTCGCGGTGAGGGGACGAGAGGTTGTACACACATTGGTAGTTATTTTGCACCAGCAGTGCCTTTCTCACTGGGGGTACTTGGACCCTCAGATCTTCTTTTCTAATAGCCATTTGCCACCCCAAGTGGTATGTCGGCCATTTCTCCTTAAAACACCTTCCCTACCTTTCCCATGTACTCAGTTTAGCTCTCAAAGAAGGGGTGAATCATAAAGCCAGTGAAAATTTCACCCTCTGAGGGAGTTCCCCAATCTGAAGGGGAAGAGGGTGACCTCAGCGGCTTTTCTCCCAAAAATCGGCTGAAGGCTGGTTGTGGATCCTTGTTCCTCTCCTGACCCCATCTGGCTGCTGCCCCGTCTCCCACCCCTGTCCCCGGGGCTCGCTGGCCCTGCACTCCGCCTTAGTCCTGGGGCCGGCGACACAGTGGGGGCTCCTCACTTGCTGCAGTGTCATAGCAATAAAATGTGATTCTTGGGGTCCCCCCAGGGAGCTGCCCATGGCTTTATTTATGAACCTGGTTTTCGGGAGTCAGGGGAGGAGATGACTTTGCTTCTGTGCACAGCCCCGTCTTCCAGGAGCCACAACTCAGAAGAAAAGGGTGCTCAGACTTTTGTTATACACATTTGCTTTGTGTAAATAAATGTTTACAATTTTATATGAAAGATGGAATAAGCGCTAGAGCTTCCAACTGTATATTTTTTACTTTTATAGATTTTAAAACTATGATCCTTTATATGTGTGTTTTGGGGGAGCTATGATAAGTTTTATGGCAAACGGTTGGTATTGTTAACTTTTTATTGTCATCAAAAGTTCATAAAAGTCCTATTAATCCCCATATTCTTCTACTGCCCTTAACTCTGGTATACACCAAAAAGAAATCTTTACTTTCCTTGTTTTATCATTATAAAAATAAAGTATTTTGCTAGTATGGAAACAACCTTTGTATTTGACGTCACCTGGGGTCTGCTGGCAGAAGTTTGGGGATTGGTTTTCTTTTGTAATTTAGCTGCTTGCTTTTCTTGGTTTTTTAATTTTTTCTTTTTAAAGAAATGCTTGTCGAGTCATAGATTTAGCTGCTTTCTTATTGCACATTGTTGGGTGGGAGCTGGTTTGGTTGAAGCCTCAGAGGAGCTTCTGTTATCTGCTGATAGATACTAAATTAGAGCTAGCATCACCCTGAGAAAGCAGGCTGGCCCCAGGACTCACGGGCGTCCATGCAGCTGATGGAGGGGAGCTGGACCGGACGACTGTGCTCTCTTAGCTCTAGCATCACCCTGAGAAAGCAGCCTGTCTCCGGGACTCACGGGCATCCATGCGGCTGATGGAGGGAGCTGGGCCGGACGACTGTGCTTCTCGTGCTTCATGTAGAACCCTTAGGTTTGCCCCTGAAGTCTGTCTGCTCCATGTACTATTTAGTTGCTTTTCAGCATAGAGCTTGGTTTTCCCTTTTTTTAATTGTAAGAATGATGTGCTCTGGCATGTCACACTGTGAAAGGGGACCAGATGATGGAGCCTGGACTGAAAGGGTGAATGGGGCCGCTCACCTCAGAACTCTCCCTGCTTTGCTTTGCTGGGAGCAGGGAGCAGGGCAGCCTGGGAGAGGCTGGAGTTCCTCAAAGGGCAGAGAAGAATGGCCTTCAGGGGACCACAGGGAGGAACCATGCCATGATAGACTCAAAAAGCTAGATTATGCTAATAAAAAGGGGAAGACATCTGTGACACACAGGAAACAGTGTTCGTGGCCTTGCCATAGAAGGCGCAGTAAAGGAGGAAAACTCCGGAGACTCCCTGTGAATTCTTGGCTAAGAATGCACGTTATCTGCAGTGATCTAAAAACACAAACGAGAACAGAAGTGAGTGGCCCTACCTGTGAGATGCACAGTGCTGAGCGGCACCCAGCGCTGGCTGCAGGATGGGAGGCTGGCTGCCGTATGATTGTTCGTGGGAAGAAATTTTGTAGAAGTTATCAAGCTCCTTAAAATGTTCGTGCTGTGTCTGCCTGGACAGTTGCAATTCTGAGAAGCGATCCTTGAAAATGATTCTGGGTATAGAAAAAGGTACAGCACAGTGGTGTTCTTAGTATGGCTGTTTACAGTCGCAGAAAATGAGATGCTAAACTGCTGCCCTAGGGGATTGGTTAAGCAAACTGGTGCTTCCACTCCATGAGATAGGATGCAGCCATTTGAAATATTTATGAAGGTTTTGGACAGTCATTTGGAATAATGGTTTTGTTGGGGCTCTTAACTTGCAAGCCAATAGAAAAGAAATCTGGCTAATATAATCCTATAAATTATTTCCCTACAGCCCATTTTTAAGGTTCCCAGTAACTTTCAGAATCAAAGGAGACATCGGATGGCCAGGCCTCAGTAGTGGCAAGGCCCAGGCAGTTCCAGATCCCTGCAGCCTGCCACTACCCCGAGTCTCTCCAGGTCACCAGCCAGGCTTGGGGGTGATGGAGGAGGACTCGGTAAGGGACAGTTCACTTGGCAAATGTTTAGGGAGCACCTGCTGTGGCCAGGCATTGCCCTAGAGGCAGGGAATATGATAGAAATTGCGGCAGTACAGGAAGGTAAGGTCCCTGTACCGCAGAGCTCACAGTCTCATGGGAAGGAGTTCTTACACAGGTGAGGTAAGTGTTAGGGAGAAACTAAAGCCAGGTAATGAGAGAGGGCAGTGGGGCTGCAGAGGCTGGGGTGAGCCACAGACTACTGTAGACACGGTAGCAACGTAGGTCTCTTAAGAAAGTGACACACAACGTAGGCCTAATCACAGCACTTTGGGAGGCCAAGGTGGGAGGATCACTGAGACCAGCCTGGGCAACATAGAGAGACCCTGTCTCTGTAAAAAAAAAAAAAAAAAAAATTAGGCATGGTAGCACACACCTGTGGTCCCAGCTACTCAGGAGAATAAGGTGGGAGGATCACTTCAACCCAGGAGGTTGAGGCTGCAGTGAGCCAAGATCATGCCACTGCACTGCAGCCTGGGCAGCAGAAACCCTGTCTCAAAAAACAGTGCTGTTAACAGGAAGAGGGAGGAGTGCTTAGGAGCAAGTTAACAGATGCCTGCACATGTTAAATTTAAAAGCAGGCCGGGCACAGTGGCTCACGCTTGTAATCCCAGCACTTTGGGAGGGATCTGTCTGCCTGGGCAGACAGATCACCTGAGGTCAAGAGTTCCGAGACCAGCCTGGCCAACATGGCAAAACCCTGTCTCTACTAAAAATACAAAAATTAGCTGGGCCTGGTGGCACGTGCCGGTAGTCCCAGCTACTTGGGAGACTGAGGCAGGAGAATGGCTTGAACCTAAGAGGCAGAGATTGCAGTGCCAGGATCGTGCCACTGCATTCCAGCCTGGGCGACAAAGCTAAACTCTGTCTCAAAACAACAACAACAGCAACAACAAAAACCCACAAATTTGAAAGCAAGCAATATGCCACTGCATTTAGTAGGATGGTGGCTCTTGCCATCCTCCAGGTGCCTGTGAGCTGCAACCAGCCTGCAGTGCAGGCCTGTGCTGTTCTGAAACCTCTGCCAGCCTGGACAAGACTTGCCCGCCTCCCCTGTCCAGCCCCAGAAGATGCCCAAGGTAAGTCAAGGACAAGCTCCAGGGTCTCTTGCTTGCCCCTGGAGTTGGATGGCACACCATGGTTGGTGGCATTATCAGTAATGCTCCCTGCAGGCCAGCCAGCTGATGCCTGGAGCTGGCAATGTGGCTCTAAAGCTGTTGAAAGATGCAAGATGTTAGCTACCTGCGAACTTGGTCCAAAGCTAGTGGCTGAACTTCAGTGTTCCAGGCACTGCCCTGGCCAGCACAGGAAATGGCGAGTGGTGGCAAATGTCTTGACTGGACTTTTCTTCCCCTTTTGCGTTCAAGCAGTTAATGTCCTGGCCACTCTTCAGATTGGCTTTACTTATGCTTCATGGATAATTTGCTCTTCGCACGCTTACAGTAAGCTGAGCTGCAGAGTTTAGCTAGTGCATGAAAACCATTTCATGGACGTTGGGAAAGATAACTTCAGACTCCCACCCAAAGCAGAAACCAGCGCCACAAGGGGAGAATTCAGGGATCCACCACCCTGTCAGTCTTCTGGGAAGGGTCACGTACATTAGGAAGAACTAGATGCCATCTGCTGCAAAAACAAACAAATGCAGCCAGCTGCCTGCTGGAGGCAGGGCTGCAGAACGGACTTACTCTGAGGATTTCCACACTGCGGGCGACCTTAAGCAAGCCCTGACCACATGGGCTGTGGTGAGAAGCAGCAGGCCGTGTTAGATTGCTATGTGGGATCAGTGTGGAGGCCTCCACTTTTCTTTGTGCCTGGAAAGCAGAACTTTTCAAGACTGAGGACGAAAAACTGGAATTTTGCATCCTTATTAAGATCTAACTACATTTTATGTAGCAGAGACAACTGCTTGCTCACTACTTCTGGATTTATTACTACTGATAACATTTCTCATGAATTTTAAAGTTTTAGGCTGGTTCTATACTTGTAATAACAGATGATTTTATATAACGCAAGACAGAGTCCAACCACATGCAGAATCTTCAAGAGCTATAGATACTGCCGTCCGAGCTCTCTAGAGCTAGAGGCCTAAGGAGGTCCTAGCCCCCAAGTAATAAAAAATTTAAATCTTGGCAGGGTGCGGTGGCTCATGCCTATAATCCCAGCACTTTGGAAGGCCAAGGCAGGAGTATCGCTTGAGTCCAGTAGTTTGAGACCAGCCTGGGCAACATGGTGAGACCCCATCTCTACAAAAAGTTAGCCGAGCGTGGTGACACACTCCTGTAGTCCCAGCTACTAGGGAGGCTGAGGTGGGAGGCTTGCTTGAGACTGGGAGGGCGAGGCGGCAGTAAGCCATGATGGTACCACTGTGTTCCAGCCTGGGTGACAGAGTGAGATACTGCCTGAAAAATGAGAAAAATTAAATCTTGCCGGGCATGGTGGCCTTTGCTTGTAGTCTCAGGTACGCAGGAGACTGAAGAGAGATGATCGCTTGAGGCCAGGAGTTTGGGGCTGCAGTGAGCTATGATTTTACCTGTGAGTAGCCACTGCACTCCAGCCTAGGCAACATAGCAAGACTGTCTCTTTTTTTTTTTGAGATGGTCTCACTATGAATTGCTCAGGCTGGAATGCAGTAGCATGATCATAGCTCACTGCAGCCTGCACCTCCTGGGCTCAAGCACTCCTCCCACATCAGCCTCCCGAGTAGCTGGGGCTACAGGCGTGTACCACCATGCCAAGCTAATTTTTTTAAAAAAAATTTGTAGAGACAGGGTCTTAGTATGTTGCCCAGGCTGGTCTCAAAACTCCTGGGCTCACGCGAGCCTCCTGCCTCAGCCTCCCAAAGTGTTAAGATTACAGGCATGAGCCACCACACCCAGCCAACCCTGTCCCTTAAAACATAAAAAGATAAATCTGTGGCTTCTTTTTGATTCTTGCTTGTGCAGTAACAGGCATGTTCCTTAAACTTTGCAGCTGTCTGTCATTCCTTGCATTTAACCTACTCTATCCAGTTGATCCTGGATTCCCCTCCCCTGGGTCCACTTCTTAGTAAACCTATGGCATTATAGGAACACTAGAGCAGGAGAACAGGGCGAGTCTAAGCCTGAGTGTGCCACTGCTAACCATGTATGGGACCTCTCTGTGGCTGTCCCAAAGCGGGGAGATTGGACCAGACTGAGCGGACAGTTACAGAGGCTGTGATACACTCCAGATACCTGTCAGGACTGAGACCCATTTCCAGGAGTGTTGGACACTCATTGTTCAGAGCTGCTGCCAGCTCATAGCTGACTCTTCCTGGGAATTGTGTTCAGTGGAGGGGAGCTGCCCAAGGTTATGCCCTCTTCCAGGGGCAGCCCATGTCTGGAGACTTGTCGATATGGGAGTATGGAGACCCCAACACCCTTGCCTCAATTTGGGACATCTCCAAAGAGCCATCCTGGCTCCACTGCACCGGTGCTGTCGTCTTGAGGCCTCTGCTGCGTCTGCATCTCAGTTCCACCTCTCGCCTGCCCAATCCAGTAGCCCTTGCTCCCTTATGAGTGGTGCTGATGCCCTTTGAAATCTGCCTTTGGGGCACCTGGCTCGAGAGACTTGGTGCGGGGAGTGGTCCCAGGAAGCCGACTGTAAGCTGGCTCGCTGCTGACTGCTGGCCATGATGACCCCATCACCTGTGGCAAGTGGGACAGCTGTAAAGAGGAACTGTTAAACGTTCGCTGTGGTGGCACCAGGGCAGGACACTGGGGAAGGGAATAGAGTACCCTAGGCCTTTGGGAAGTGTAAGTGGAGGAGTGACTGTGACCTTGAGAGAGATGTTGCGGGGGTTATAGGTGATACCTCGGAGAAAGATAATGAAAAGCTGATCATGACTAATCACTAGAAAAGACACGATGTGAGATCCGTTAGAGGCCTCCTTGGCAGCCAGGCAAGAGGGTGGACACAGCTGAAGGGATCAGGCATGGGGTTGTTACTAAGGCTTCAGAGCTCCAAGAAGGTAGAACTTTCAACCTAGCCGAGTGTGCCATACCAAGGTCATTGTCCTAGTTAGGAATGTGGGACCCTTACACTGGGATGGGGACATCTGGATCGATACTCTAGAACTCTAGAAAACCTGGACACCCCAGCCCCGCCACCCTCCCCCACACCCTGAAACCTCTAAGCCCACTCCTCCCTGTTAAGGGCCGGTGCTTTGCTCTTGTTTGAAGGTCATGCCCAGGCCTCTGCCACCTCCCCTTAGGATCTGTGCTCACCACCCCTCCTGGCCCCTGGACCAAGAAGGTCAGCAGGAGGGTGCTGGGCCTGCCAGAGAAGAAAGAAGATGAGCTGCCTGGGGGGAGCAGGAGTGTGCCTGAGACAAGGGCATGGCCATATGGGGCTCTGCTATGACCTAGGACTCAGCACCCTTGCAGAGCCCCCAGGAAGCAGTGCCCGTAGGCTGCCAGCTCGGTCGGCTCTCTGAAACTTCCCAGGAAGCCATGGCCCACAAGGAAGAGAATAGCAACCTAGGGGCAACCGTGGCAGCTCTGCAAGAAGCGAACGAACGCCCAGAGAAGCGGGTGTGGGAGAGTGGAAATGCAGCTGACCCCTGAACAACGCAGGTCTCAACTGCCTGGGGCCACTTACATGTGGGTTTTTCAATAAATATATTGGAAATTTTTTTTGAAATTTGTGACAATTTGAAAAAACTCACAACTGAACCGTGTTGCCTTAGAGATAGTGAACAAATTAAGAAAAAGCTAGGTATGTCATGGACGCATAAAATATTTGTAGGTACTAGTCTATTTTATCATTTACTACCATAAAATATACACAAATCTATTACAGAAAGTTAGAAGTTAGTCTAGGTGCAGTGGCTCACACGTGTAATCTTAACACTTTGGGAGGCTGAGGTGGGAGAATCACTTGAAGCCAGGAGTTTCAGACCAGCCTGGGAAACAGTGAGACCTTCGTCTCTACAATTAGCTGGATATGGTGGCACATGCCTGTAGTCCTAGCTACTTGGGAGGCTGAGATAGGAGAATTGCTTGAGCCGAGGAGTTTGAGGCTGCAGTGAACCAAGGTCACACCACTGTACTCCTGCCTGGAAAACATAGCAAGACCCTGTCTCCAAAAAAAAGGTTTTTTACTGGGGGCAGTGGCTTACGCCTGTAATCCCAGCACTTTGGGAGGCCGAGGCGGGTGGATCACCTGAGGTCAGGAGTTTGAGACAAGCCTGGCCAACCTAGTGAAACCCCGTCTCTACTAAAAATATGAAAACTAGCTGGGTGTGGTGGTGGGCACCTGTAATCCCAGCTACTGGGGAGGCTGAGGCAGGAGAATCACTTGAACCTGGGAGGCGGAGGTTGCAGTGAGCCGAGATCGCGCCATTGCACTCCAATGTGGGGGACAGAGCAAGACTCCATCTCAAAAAAGAAAATAAAAAAAAAGTTTTTTTGGTCAAAAGTTACACATGCAAACACTACGTGGCACATTTGTAGTTAAGAGAAATGTAAAGGTGCAGTATAAATATAGCCGCAGCCTGAAAGACGAGGCCAAATGACTGCAGGTCCTGAAGCCCAGCTTGCAGCAGGTCAGCAGCTACAGCTGCCTCCATGGCTAGTTATGAATTTTTTTCAGGGCAAATGATGGGAGGGTTGGCACATAAGTGGGGGAGGAAAAATATGGAAACAAATACTATGAAGACAACAAGCAACGTTTGGCTACCACTGATGGGTCACATATACTGAAATGAGTGACAAAAACATTCTGGGATGTGGCTGGAAGCATGGTGCCTCCCAAGTGGCATCCTCTGCTTCACTCAGACTCATGATCCTCCAACAACAAAACCACCTCCTGCTCGCAGATTCTTTGGACAAACCATAAGTTAAGCGTGAGTGGCACCCCAGAACAATATGTGCCATTTTCTACCACTAGAAAGAAGACAGGAGCGGGTCCCATCTTCAAAACCTGACAAGCAAAGACAATGAAAAACAGTTTAAACACGCAAAATACAGGGCTTTTCATGGCATTGCACTTTGCTTACCATTAACTGGATTAAAATTGTTTGACAAAAAACTTATAACTGCATACAGTTGACCGTAGCACATACTGTACTGCCCTGCTGATCTCACAGCCATCTCCTGTAGTTACTGCAGTGGACTTGAGAGTGGCGATGATCTGCTTAAAGCGCCATGCGTCTCATCAGCTCCAAGGGAGCAGTTTGTCCCTCCAGTAAATTGTAGATCACAGTAAAAAGGGATCTCTCGGCTGGGCGCAGTAGCTCATGCTTGTAATCCCAGCACTTGGGGTGGCCGAGGTCAGGAGATCAAGACCAGCCTAGCCAATATGGTGAAACCTTTTCCTGCTGACCTTTTAATTGTCTCTATTAAAAATATACAAATTAGCCAGGCGTGGTGGCGCACACCTGTAATCCCAGCTACTCGGGAGGCTGAGGCAAGATAATCACTTGAACCTGGCAGGCAGAGGTTGCAGCGAGTCGAGATCGTGCCACTGCACTCCCGCCTGGGCAACAGAGCAAGACTTTATTTAAAAAAAAAAAAAAAGGGATCTCTGTCAGTTCTTGTGTTTTTTCATCATGTTTGGTGCAGTACTGTAAATCTTCAGTAACACCATGGGACCCATACAACGTGCCATTAGTGATGCTGCAAGTGCCTCCAAGAAGCAAAGGAAAGTCATGACGATAAGAACAATTTAAGTTGCTTGATAGGTATTATAGATTGAGGTCTGCAGCCACGGGTGCCACCCTCCCAGCCGATTCATCTTGTAAATGGATGACATAAACGCACGGTATTGATACAGTACAGTACTATAAATGTGTTTTATGATTTTCTGAACATTTTCTTTTCTCTAGCTTACTTTATTGTAAGAACACAGTGTATGACAACACACTTCCCATACAAAGCAGGTGTTCGTGGACTCTTTATGTTCTCTCTAAGGCTTTCCGTCAACAGTAGGCTATTGGTAGTTAAGTTTTGGAGGGGCCAAAAGATGTAGTGGATTTTCGGCTGTGCAGGGGTCAGCGCCTCTAACCTCCACAATGTTTAAGGGTCGGCTGTACTCTGTTTGTGATGGCCCTGACACCTACCAGCCAAATATGTTCTGCAGGAGGGCTGCACTCAGTGGCTCACACCTGTAATCCCAGCACTTTGGGAGGCCGAGGTGGGTGGATCACCTGAGGTCAGGAGATCAAGACCAGCCTGGACAACATGGTGAAACCCTGTCTCTAGTAAAAATACAAAAAATTAGCAGAGAGTGGTGGGGCGCACCTGTAATCCCAGCTACTCAGGAGGCTGAGGCAGGAGAATCGCTTGAACCTGGGAAGCAGAGGTTGCAGGGAGCCGAGATTGTGCCATTATACTCCAGGAGCAAGAATGAAACTCCATCTCAAAAAAAAAAAATGGAGGAGGAGGAAGAAAAGAAGAGGAAGGAGAAAGAGAAGGAAGAAGAAGAAAGGAAGAAGAAGAAGAGGAGGAGGAGAGAAGAAAGAAGGAAGAAAGAAGAAAGAAGAATCATCCTGGCCTAGGCCCAGCTCCCAGTGGGACCACTGGGTCCACAGCTCCACCCAGCCATTTCCTTGGCCTTGATATCTAATCAAAGAGGACTCACTTCATAGTTGACAGAAGCCTCACACGGGGTATTGGCCTGGGAAGCCACAGTGGGGAAGGCCCAGAGAAGAAATGACAAGGAGCCTTGCTTCCCAGTGGGTCAGACACAGGGTGGCGTCTGCCTCATAGGTGCCTTTTTTTTTTTGAGATGGAATTTCGCTCTTGTCGCCCAGGCTGGAGTAGAGTGGCACGATCTCGGCTCACTGCAACCTCCGCCTCCTGGGTTTAAGCGATTCTCTTGCCATACCCTCCCAAGCTGGGATTACAGGCTCCCGCCACCACGCCCAGCTAATTTTTGTATTTTTAGTAGAGACGAGGTTTCATCATGTTGACCAGGCTGGTCTCAATCTCCTGACCTCAGGTGATCCGCCCACCTCAGCCTCCCAAAGTGCTGGGATTACAGGAGTGAGCCACCACGCCTGGCCATAGATGCCCATTTGATTTTCCAGTCTGGGCCCAACGAAACGCAAATGATCCCTAGCAGCTGACAGCAGTCTGCTGCAAACACAGCAAAGTTGAGTCCCAGTTGCAGCTGCAGTGACCACCAGCCAGCCTCTGTCATGGCCCCCGAGTGCTGGGCCCAGCAAGGCGGGCTCAAGAGCAGTAAGCAGCAGTGGCAGGGGTGGGGCCCAGCGGGATCCCAGCATCGTGGCTCTGGCTCACCCAGACAAACCCGGATCTGCCACCCAAGTGCCCAAGTCTCCAGCCTGCCAGTGACAGAGACCAGCGTTGGTCTCCTCAAGGGACTGAGTGAGGAGACCAGTCACCACCCGGTGCAAACTGAGTCCCTTCCACGCGGGAAAGGGCCACGAGCAATTCATGTTTTCTTTTTTTTGTTTGTTTTTGAGACAGAGTCTCGCTTGGTCGCCCAGGCTGGAGTGCAGTGGCACAATCCTGGCTCACGGCAACCTCTGCCTCCGGATTTTGTGAACCAAGCAGGAGGTTGCTTGCCCTGCATCCTGGCAGGAGTCAGCAATTCTCCTGCCTCAGCCTCCTGAGTAGCTGGGATTACAGGTGCCCACTACCATGCCTGGCTAATTTTTGTAGTTTTTAGTAGAGACGGGGTTTCACCATGTTAGCCAGGCTGGTCTCCAGCTCTTGACCTCAGGTGAGCCACCCGCCTTGGCCTCCCAAAGTGCTGGGATTACAGGTATGAGCCACGGCTCCCGGCCATGTTTTCTATTTTTAGCTTTTCATTTTGAAATATTTTCAACCTTACAAAAAAGTTGTGAAAATACTACAAAGACCTCAAAAACATTTTGCTAAGTTGTGCCAGACACAGAAGACCACATATTGTATAGTTGCATTTATATGAAATATCCAGACAAAGCAAATCTGCTGAATGCATGCCCCAAAAGTTCATGTGTTGGACTTAATCCCCAGTGCAACAGTGTTGGGAGGTGGGGCCTAGTAAGAGGTGATTGGGTCATGAGGGCAGAACCCTCATGAATGAATGTTTTTTTTGTTGTTGTTGTTTTAATTTGAGAAGGAGTCTCACCCTGTCGCCCAGGCTGGAGTGCAATGGCGCAATCTCTGCTCACTGCAACCTCCATCTCCCGGGTTCAAGCGATTCTCCTGCCTCAGCCTCCCAAGTAGCTGGGATTACCGTAGATTGCAGACCTGAATATAGGAGACTATCTTGATGACCTCAGAGTTGGGAAGAATTTATTAGACAAAATACAAAAAGAGTTAACCATAAGGTAAAACACTGATTCATTTGTTACAGTCAATTTAAGAGCTTCTGTGCATCAGGAGACACCATCAGGAGCCTGGAAACACAAGCCATTGGTGAAAGAGAGCCTCTCCCTGGAGGCAGGTTTTGGCTACTGTCAGGGAGCATGCTGGAGCCACAGCAGTGGGTGACATAGGAGTTTGCTTGTGCTAACCTGTGCACTGGGATGCCGTGGGTGCTGGAGCATCCTTCTACTGCAGGAAGGATGGCCTTGGGCCTGCACACTGTTGGACTTCTTGGGCCCAACAGAACCAGCTCCTGTGGCAGACTGCCCTGGCCACGCAGTCACTTGGTGCCCCAATGTCCCAAGGTCCAGTTTTCATTTGTTTTGTTTTTGGAACAATGTCCATTCCCTGCTGGGGAAGGCACAGCCTTGATCTGGGACCATAAGATTATGCACTATGACTCTCTCACGAGGCTTCTGCTAGAAACACCACCTGGCCCTGTCTCTACCACAGCTATTTCTAGCACCAGGGGGTGTGCTCGATTTTCTGAACCAAGCAGAAGGTTGCTTGCCCTGCATCCTGGCAGGAGTCAAAGCAGCAGTCCCGAGTGTGAACTGTGTTGCATCCAAAGCCTCCAGAGGCCCGCCAAGGCCTGTGTGCCTTTCTTAGTGGCAAGAGATCAAAAGTGCTATAACTTGAATTTTTGCCCGGGCTGGAGTGCAGTGGCGCGGTCTCAGCTCACTGCAACCTCCACCTTCCGGGTTCAAGTGATTCTGTCTCAGCCTCCCAAGTAGCTGGGATTACAGGTGCATGCCACCATGCCCAGCTAATTTCTGTATTTTTAGTAGAGACGGAGTTTCGCCATGTTGGGCAGGCTGGTCTCAAACTCCTGACCTCAGGTGAGGACAGGCCCACCTGGGAAACTCCTGTTTTTAAAACCATCAAATGGACCAGGCTTGGTGGCTCACGCCTATAATCCCAGCACTTTGGGAGGCCAAGGCGGGTGGATCACTGAGGTCAGGAGTTGGAGACCAGCCTGCCCAACATGGGCAGGCTGTATTTTTTGTAAAAATACAAAAAATTAGCCAGACGTGGTGGCGGACACCTGTAATCCCAGTTACTCGGGAGGCTGAGGCAGGAGAATCGCTTGAACCTGGGAGGCGGAGGTTGCAGTGAGCTGAG
Source organism: Homo sapiens (assembly GCF_000001405.40). Lineage (NCBI taxonomy): Eukaryota > Metazoa > Chordata > Mammalia > Primates > Hominidae > Homo > Homo sapiens. Next base: position 179,789,313 of record NC_000005.10, read on the forward strand.
ATCACACCACTGCACTCCAGCCTGGGCAACAAGAGCGAAACTCCATCTCGAAAAACAAAACCAAAAATAAAAATAAAAAAATTTAAAAAAAAGGGAGTGTCCCTGCACAAGCTCCTCTCTCTTTGCCTGCTGCCATCCACGTAAGATGTGACTTGCTCCTCCTTGCCTTCTGCCATGATTGTGAGGCCTCCCCAAAGTCCAATAAACCTCTTTCTTTTGTTAAATTGCCCCGTCTTGGGTATATCTTTATCAGCAGCGTGAAAACGGACTAATACACTGGGCATGGTGGTGCACGCCTGTAATTCCAGCTACACAGGAGGCTGAGGCAGGAGAATTGCTTGAACCCAGGAGGCGGAGGTTGCAGTGAGCTGAGATCACGCCATTGCACTCCAGCCTGGGCAACAGAGTAAGACCCTATCTCAAAAAGAAAAGAAAAGCTGGGTGCAGTGGCTCACGCCTGTAATCCCAGCACTTTGGGAGGCCAAGGCGGGTGGATCACAAGGTCAGAAGATCGAGACCACCCTGGCTAACACAGTGAAACCCCGTCTCTACTAAAAATACCAAAAAATTAGCCAGGCGTGGTGGCGGGCGCCTGTAGTCCCAGCTACTCGGGAGGCTGAGGCAGGAGAATGGCGTGAACCTGGGAGGCGGAGCTTGCAGTGAGCCGAGATGGCGCCACTGCACTCCAGCCTGGGCGACAGAGCTAGACTCTGTCTCAAAAAAAAAAAAAAAGAAAGAAAGAAAGAAAGAAAAGAAGAAGAACAGAGAAGCAGAGAGAAGCCAGGCCAGCTGCCCCAGTAAAGACTCAGGTTCTCACGATCCCAGGCCACTTCCAGACTGAATCAGTTCTCAGCTGTACAGCAGGTGATCTCTGCCCTACAGGGATCTGCACCCATTTACTCAGGAAACTGTCTTCTTACTATCCAGTTTTGAGAGTTTTTATATATTTTGAATTCAAAGTATTTTTTTAATCATATATATGATTCACAAATGTTTTCTCTAAGTCTATGGTTTAATTTTTCTATTTTTTTATTTTTGAGACGGAGTCTAGCTCTGTTGCCCAGGCTGGAGTGCAGTGGCGCGATCTCGGCTGACTGCAAGCTCCGCCTCCCTGGTTCACGTCATTCTCCTGCCTCAGCCTCCAGAGTAGCTGGGACTACAGGCGTCCACCGCCACCCCCGGCTAATTTTTTGTATTTTTTAGTATAGACGGCGTTTCACCGTGTTAGCCAGGATGGTCTCGATCTCCTGACCTCGTGACCTGCCCACCTCGTGCTGGGAGTACAGGCGTGAGCCACCGCGCCTGGCCCTCTCTGTGCCTTTTTTTTTTTTTCTTTTCTTTTCTTTTTTTTTTTTGTTGGAGACGGAGTTTCGCTCTTGTTGCCCAGGCTGGAGTGCAATGGCGCGATCTTGGCTCACTGCAACCTCTGTCTCCTGGGTTCAAGCAATTCTCCTGCCTCAGCCTCCGGAGTAGCTGGGATTACAGGCATGCACCACCATGCCCGGCTAATTTTGTATTTTTAGTAGAGACAGGGTTTCTCCATGTTGGTCAGGCTGGTCTTGAACTCCCGACCTCAGGTGGTCCACAACCTCGGCCTCCCAAAGTGCTGGGATTACAGGCGTTAGCCACCATGCCCAGCCTGGCACAATTTAGCATAAAGTTTTTGAGGTCTTTGTACTATTCCAGTAGGACAGTTGGTGAAACTTGAATAAGATCCGTAAAATACTTGATTACTAACTTGTATCAATGGAAATCTCTTGGTTTATAACTGAATTTTGGTTATACAAGTTTTTTTTTTTTTTTTTTTTTTTTTTTTTTTTTTTTTTTTTTTTTTGAGACACAGTCTCGCTCCGTCGCTCAGGTGTGATCTTGGCTCACTGCATCCTCTGCCTCCTGGGTTCAAGCAATTCTCCTCTCTCAGCCTCCCAAGTGGCTGGGATTATAGGTGCCTGCTACCACGCCTGACTAATTTTTGTATTTTTAGTAGAGATGGGGTTTCACCATGTTGGCCAGGCTGACCTCAAACTCCTAACTTCAGGTAATCCGCCCACCTTAGCCTCCTAAAGTGTTGGGATTACAGGCATGAGCCACCGCGCCTGGCCGAGACTGTAGATTTTTGCAACTTTTTTGTAAGTCTAAAATAATTTCAGCCAAGCATGGTGGCTCATGCCTGTAATCCCAGCACTTTGGGAGGCTGAGGCAGAGGATCACTTCAGCCCAGGAGTTTGAGACCAGCCTGCAACATAGCAAGACTCCATCTCTGGAAAAAAAAAAAAAAAATTAGAGCCTGTGGTCCCAGCTACTTGAGAGGCTTGAGGTGGGAGGATTGCTTGAGCCCGGGAGTTTGAGGATGCAGTGAGGCATGTTGAGCCACTGCACTCCAGCCTGGGCAACAGAGCACGATCCTGTCTCAAATATAAAATAATTTCTAAATAAACTTTCTTGTTCAAGCTCAGGGTCTGAGTTGTGCACTGCCTATGATCCACTCCACAGAAGTTCTGATTTCTTCTCTGTGCAATGGTTCTGCCGGCCTTTCTGCCGCCCAGAGGTCCTGGTGAGTGGGCATCAGAGACTCCTTAGGGCTCTGTGGAGGCTCAGGGAGGAGCTTTCGCTTCCCTCCTGATGCTGGTGCCTCCAGAGCTAGACAGGAAGATGGAAGCTGGGTGGCCCGAGCAGGGGTGGGGGCTTGGCTGGCCCTCCTGTCAGCTTGAGCTGGCTTGAGCCCAGGCAGGGCCCTGACAGCCTGGGCAGGCTCAGAGGGAGGGAGGTGGGAACCAAGAGACCCGGGGAGGGCTCCCGGGGCCAAGACCCAGGTCCCTGCCCTGCACATCTGCCAAGGGACTTCCTCAGAAGCTGCTGATGTTAGGCTTTGGCTTCCTGCTGTGGACTGAGGGGATGAACTCCGACGGGAGGACATTCAGGCCTTGGAGGAAATGAGAGCTTGGCTGACAGGAGGGCCTGGACTCACGAAGACACTTGGACACCCACAAGCACAGAGACATGGGTGTGTGACAACTGACCAAGGGGCATGCAGGTATGTATGCGTGGTGCACACAGACACCCTGGGCACAGCCCACTGGCACCAGCGTCAACCCCTGCGTGGTGGGCTGCATCCCACCCTTCAGGCAGGCCCTGTGGGGCAGGTTTCAGGGAGGAAGGAGGCTGAGTGGGCAGAGTCTGAGGACGCGGCCACCATCGCTCCCTGGCACTACATCTGTGTCCGGGATCTAGGAGGCAGTCCTCCATCACTGAGCCCCAAGATGACTGTCACAGCTTGGTCTAAAGCAGGGGCCGGGCCTGAGCCCTGGCCCCTGCCCTGGAGGAGCTCACAGAGCCCCCAGCTGGGGCATATCTGGTTTCCGGGGGCAGGGGCGATACCCAGAGGAGGAAGAAGGGATTCTGAGAGAGCCCAACAGGCTCCGAGCCTCAGGCTGGAGCTGAGCTTGGGGCAGCAAGGAAGGACCAGGTGCGAGGGCAGAACCATGCGGCCCGACCCCTGCAGCACGGCCTGTGGCCTCCCCCAGCTCCTGCCCGTGCTTCTGGGTCAGTCTGGACTTTGCCACTTCTGACCAAAAGCCACCGCAAACCCACTCAAGCCAAAAGAGGAAGTGACCGTTAGGCCCAACTGGGAAGGCTGGCGGCCAGGGGCACTCCAGGCAGGGCGAGGGGGGCGGCCGGGGGCGCTCCAGGCGGGGCGAGGGAGACACCCAGAACTCCAGGCAGGAGTCCTCGGGTGCCACCTTTCCTCTCCACCTGGCCCTGCGTGGGCTCTGTCCTCAGGGTGGCCCGCCGTAGTCCCCCTCCCCACTCTGAGTTTCCTGTCCCAAAGTCCTAAGGAAGTTTCCAGAACTACATCTCACCATCTTGAGTCAGCCTTGGCTCAGTGTCCATCTCACAGGCCTGGAAGGGGCAGGAGTCAGCACTGTCCAGACCACAGGGCCTGAGTGTGGGGAGGGCAGCCGTCTAGGAAGGTGGTGGAGGGTTGTTACCTTGAGGCAAGAGGGCTGCGGGGCAGAAAGACACAGCAGGTGACTGTTGTGGGAGGCCCAAGAGAGGCCTGGGAGAGGGATGGCCCACAAGGGCTGACCCTCCCGCCACCCAGGGGGCCTTGGACAGGTTTCCTCCTGGCAGGGTGGCCCTTGTGCATGGAACCCCTACAACGACTAAGGCTGGCAGGCATGAGGTTTCCTGAAGGAGAAAGAGCTTGTGGGGCCCAGTGTGGCTGGGGGGGCGCTGGGACTCCATTCTGAAGCCAAAGGCACTGGGAAGGGCTTCCGCAGAGGAGGGTTTGGCAGGGGTTGCCAGGAACAGCCTGGATGGGGACAGGGAACAGATAAGGTGGGTGGAGGAGTTAGCCGGGAGCCTGGGGCTGGCTCCAGCATGATGTGGGGGTCTGCAAGGCCCTGGAGAAAGTGGGGTGGTGCAGCAGGGGGCACACCCACAGCTGGAGCTGACCCAGATGGACAGCTTGGGCTCTGCCACGCGGGACTAGGCAAGGAAGGGGCACGAACAAGCAGGAAGTGGTGAGGCGGTCTCCAGCTAGCTGCTCTCCCCTGCCCAGACTTTGGTTTCCTCCCTGCTGGCTTGGCCTGGCTCCCTGGCTCTGTGTGGTATGGTCACACCCCCGTGCACCCCCTCCACTGAGATGGGGCGGGGAGAGCACCGAGGCTGCTCTTCCTCTCCTGGGCCGTCCTCTGAGCAGCAGACGGGGCTAAGCGTTCCCCAGCTCGCCTTCACACACAGCCCGTGCCACCACACCGACGGTACCATGAAGGACGAGGTAGCTCTACTGGCTGCTGTCACCCTCCTGGGAGTCCTGCTGCAAGGTGGGCTGGTTCCTATCTAGGAAGAGGGTGGGCCTTAGATCCCTACAGCTTGCCCTCTGCCCCCTAGGCCCAGGTGGAGGGCAGAGGTGGGGACTCCAGCCCAGGCCCAAGCTGGAAGAGGGTGGGGACTTTCAGGGAACTGGGGGGCACCTGGCTGTGAGAGCTGTAGGACTTGGGGGTGGCAAGGGTGCCAGGACAAATGGTAGGATAGCCATGGGCTTGGGGAAGCTGATCTCTGCTCTTTCCAGCTGTCCCCTCTCTGGGCGTCCCAGCAAGCGGCCCCCATTCCCTGGCTCTGCTTCAAAGGCACCTCCATACTGGGACCACGTGGAGCAGGGTAGAGGTGGGACTCCTTCCTCCAGCCCCCTAAAAAGAGCCTGCTTAATGCCTTTCTCAGACTGGCCCTAAAGGACACATTCCTTGGCCAGATATCCTTGCCACCTAAGAGACACCACTACTCCACAGTGTGTGGGCTAGGATAAGGCACAGCCTGGGGAGGGGGCTCTGAAGGGGCTGAACAGACAGGCCAGCCTGACCTCCAGCTGCTCCTGCACTGAGCTGGATGGCCACCCTGTGACACCCATCTGCAGAGGGCCCAGAACCAAAGGTGCCAGGGCTGCAGGACTCAGGGGGAGATGGTCCGACGGGAGGTCTGGGGAGGGAGCGCACAGCCAGCACTGGTCTGTGTGTGGTCTGGCCTGGCCTCACCTGACCAAGAGAAGGGCTCCTGCCCACAGAGAAACTTTAGGGCCAGCCCACCCTCTGCAACTACCCCAGCCCTGGGGTCCTGGGGTTAGGCTAGGAGAGTCCCAGCTGCAACCTCCTGGGAGCAGGAGAGAAGGTGTCTGTCAGATTTAGGCCTGGGACCGGAATGCAGGAACAGAGAAACTGAGGTTTGGAGGCACAGGGACGCAGGCTTTAGTGATCCCGGCCTGAGGCAGGGTCAGAGGGCCCTGCTGGTGGGCGCTGGTAGGTGGGTGACCAGGGACTGTTAGCTACAGGGAGTGTGCTTCCTTGCACCTGGGAGGATGCAGCCAGCTCTGCCCTCAGACTCCCGAGGCACTTCCTGGCCAGGGACCTGAAAGCTGCATTTGCCTGTGTTTTGAGAGTGAAATGATTCAGAAACAAGGACTCAAGTGGTCTCTCTCGCGGAGCAGGTGTCCCTGTGCCTGAATCACTCACCCTCCCCCATACACTCACAGGTTGGGACAGGGCCTCTCTGCGCCCCAGGCTTCAGCCCTGCCCTCCTCGCTGAATGTCAGGGACACAGGGCAGGCCAGGGATGGGTGAGACGAGAGGTCTCCTCGGGCGGGGAGGGGGCGGGGTTCCGCCTTAGGGAGGAGAGGACACGGCCAAGTGAAGGGCCAGATTGCAGGATCCCTCCCACTCCCATCTCTGGGGCTTCGGGTGTCCAGACCTGACTCCCGCTCCCCCTCCTCCCCCAGCCTACTTCTCCCTGCAGGTGATCTCGGCGCGCAGGGCCTTCCGCGTGTCGCCGCCGCTCACCACCGGCCCACCCGAGTTCGAGCGCGTCTACCGAGCCCAGTGAGGCGCGGCGGGAGGGCGCGGGGCGGGGAGCGAGCCCCAGGCGGGTCCGGGTCGCAGGACCATCCCGGCCGGCGCGCTCATCCCACCCGCCCACCGCAGGGTGAACTGCAGCGAGTACTTCCCGCTGTTCCTCGCCACGCTCTGGGTCGCCGGCATCTTCTTTCATGAAGGTCGGGGTGTGGGGCAGGGGCGCACGCGCTGGACCCCCGGGACCCGCGCAGGGCGCTCACCAGGCCCGTGCGTACCTCTCGCAGGGGCGGCGGCCCTGTGCGGCCTGGTCTACCTGTTCGCGCGCCTCCGCTACTTCCAGGGCTACGCGCGCTCCGCGCAGCTCAGGTGAGGGCCGGGCGGGGAGCGGGGCGGGGCCGGGGAAAGATCGCGGGCGGGCGGGGCTCCTGGGGAGCGGGACCGAAGCTGGGGGCGGGCGACGGGCCGGAGCCCAGCGCCTTTGGGGATTCGGTGGGCGAGCCCTGGCGGCGGCCAGAGGAAGTCCCCGTGGGGCCAGGGTTGCGGCGGGGAAGAAGCGGGCCTCCTCGCGCCACCTCCCCGCTGACCGCCGCCCGCAGGCTGGCACCGCTGTACGCGAGCGCGCGCGCCCTCTGGCTGCTGGTGGCGCTGGCTGCGCTCGGCCTGCTCGCCCACTTCCTCCCGGCCGCGCTGCGCGCCGCGCTCCTCGGACGGCTCCGGACGCTGCTGCCGTGGGCCTGAGACCAAGGCCCCCGGGCCGACGGAGCCGGGAAAGAAGAGCCGGAGCCTCCAGCTGCCCCGGGGAGGGGCGCTCGCTTCCGCATCCTAGTCTCTATCATTAAAGTTCTAGTGACCGAGACCCGGGCTGCGTTCTCTGGGTCCGCGGGGGTGGCGCACCGCGGGCTACGGAGCCTGGAGGGGCCCAGCCCGAGTCCGGGCAGCCCGGGGCGGGCTTCCTAGTGGCGGCGTGAGAGTGGCTGCGAAGGAACGAGCCCTCCCCCTGGGGCGGGACTGGATCCGGTCTTCACCTCCTACCCCACTCCCTACTCAGCCTCGGGGTCACAAGGCCGCCCAGTCCTGCCGGGGTTCACCCTCCTAGCGCTCAGCGGTCTCCTCACCGGTCCCCCTCCTCAGGGGCCTTCCCTCGACTCTCAGCCGCCGCAGTCCCTCGTCCCCTGGCCTTCACAGCTGACACTAGATAGAGCCTGTGGCTCTCTCCCCAGGTGAGGGCAGGGGTTTTTCTTTTGGTCAGCACTGGATCCCCCTCGTTAACTGTAGGTGTTCAGGGCAGCCCTCCGAGGTCCGCAGAGCTGCGGGCACCATGGGAACGAAGTGAGTCAGTGACAGGCGGTCTCAAGGAAATGTCCAGAAGCCTTGGGGATCCAGGGGAGGCCCACAGAAACAAAGAAGTGACTTTTAGCCAAGTATGCAGGAGAAACGGAGAAAGGAGAGCTTTCCAAGGAGGGGCAACAGTGTGTGCAAAGGCCCTGAGGTGAGCGGGAGACCCTAATGTGCCAGAGGAGTGTCGGGGACCCAGGATGAGGACCAAGCTGAGACACACGGAGGGGAACAAGGAGGCTGGGAAATGCCTTCAGCTTGAGGAGCTAAGGGAAGGCCTCATCGCAGGCCTTGGACATGGGGGAGACATTCGGGGGACCTGCTATAGGCATTGTGGTCCCAGATTCTGAGCTGGTTTCACCAGTGACAGACTTTGCGGCCTGATCCTAGGAAGGGGGGTACGCTGGCGCCGAGGTGGCACTGCAGCTGCACAGCCAGGGGCTGGACCCCGCGCCTGCAGGCCAGGCTGGCTCCTTGACTTAGCAGGGAAAGGTCGCTGCTGATGCTGGCTGGGGAGGCCCAGTGCCAGGCTTAGTTGGCATGTTGGGGCACAGACCAAATGAAGCCAACCGCAGGGGCAGAGGGAGATGCCCAGGGCGCTCACATTTGAGGCACACACTTCATTAACCCTTTATTACAAGTCACGCTCTTATAGAAGTATATGTGGACTTACGTGAAAAAATCAAATGTATCCAAGAATAAAAAACACAGCACATAAAGTAGTATATGCATTCCAGTGTTCGCGCCAGAGACGGCGGGCGCCCAAGTAAAAGCTCTTCTAAAACGGCCTGACTGGGGCAGGCCGGGTGCGAACGGTTCCGGGCCTCAGGCACAGTGTGGGGGCCGCCTGCCTCCTCCGCGGCCCGGCGGGCGGGGGCAGCACCAGCTCCTAGGGCCTCCGGGCCAGCGGCGGACCCCAGGCCGGCCCAAGCCCGACGCCAGGCAGAACCCTTTGGGCGGGGCCGTATCTGGCCCTCCGGGGACGGCAGTGACGACACCCCCAGAAATGTGGGCTTCAGGGCTGGCCACAGGGTACCCTCAGAAGCCCGCAGCTTAGTCGGCCTTTTTCAGGAAGATCTGGAAGAGCCGGACCCAGGGTCAGCAGGGCCTCTGAGCTCCGCCAGGGTCTCCCTGGCTGCTCCCCGTGCCTGGCCTGGCCCTGCCCAGCCTCACCTCGCTCAGAATCACCCACACAGGGGAGTCCGTCTGGATCGAGAGGCGCAGTGCTTCCAGAGGGCCGAAGGCTGGGTCCACCTCTCCCTCTGCCACTCCCTTGTAGAAGGAGCCTGTGGGAGGGCAGTGGTGAGAGGGTGTCCCTGAACCCCAGCCCACGCTCTCCCCCAAACCCTACCCACCGATCTGGAGGTAGCCGTCGGGGCTCCGAGGGTACCGGAGGGTGGCGGTGCGGCCCTCCTGCAGGGCCTCCTTGTCTGACTGAGGGTTCTGGGGGCAGAATCAAGGGCTGAGGCAGGTGGTCACAGGAGGCCCGGCTTCAGTGCACACCACACCCACCGAACTTACGTCGAAGGGCAGCACCTCCACAGACGTGTTGAAGAGCTTGTCCTCCGGGTGCTCGATGTTCCCACTGCGGAAGAAGAACCTGCAGCCAGGCAGGCCTGTGAGCTGCTGCAGGGGCAGCGTTCCAGCACAGCACCCAGGGCCCAGCAGAGAAAGGCCAGGCCTGCGCCAGGAGGGCCCCCCAGGCAGCTGTCAGGCTGTGCAAAGAGACCAGGGCCTTCCTCTGGGAGGATGGTGACAGGAAACATCCCTGAGCTCCTAGGGGCTGCCTGACTTAGTCCTCACAAGGTAGCTACCATTACGAGGCCCACTTCAGATGCGGAAACTGAAGAACGTGAGGATAACTTGCCGGTGAAGCCTACACCCTGGGGGCCACCCAGCCCCGCCCCCATCGCAGACCCATGGTGCTGGCACTGACCGCTCCAGTCTTAGAGGTTGGAAGAAGCGGAAGCGGATGAAGTCCCCCGCGGCAGGGGTGAAGGCCCAGAAGAAGTCCTCGCGCAGGTAGGCTTTCTCCAGGGTGAAGTGCTGGTATGTCTTCAGGCTCGTGCTCACCTCTGCTGGCGGGTTCACATGCTCCTTCCGCAGCGCCTGCTTTCCAAAGTCTTTGTCCTGCAGCGGAGGAGGGACAGCAGTGATGGCGTGGGCCCCGACCTTGATCCCGGCCTAGGGAGAGCGTGCAGTGCAGCCCACCTTCAGTTTCTGGATCTTGCCAGCCAGCGAGGAGTGAGTGCCCACGTGCTGGAAGAGGGACGGTTTGAAGCGGATCCGCAGGTTGGCTTTCTGCCGGTCACAGTGCTTCTGTGGAGGGTGGGCAACACCCCAGGGCTCGGCTTAGCCCTCCTTCCTCAACACGGCCTCTCCTGGGGACTACCAGGGCCCTCCCACAGCTGACAGTGCTCTATGTGAGCAGATGCAAGGACAGGGACACAGTTTGGGGTGGAGGCTGCCTGCCCCTTGGCCCTGCCCCTGCCAGTCCCGCCAGCTCTTGCTCACCGCATCCTTCTCGGGGTTGCAGACTTTCACCCACAGAATATGGTCCAGGAGCCAGTCGATGGGCTTGTCCCGGTAGAACATGAGAATGAACTCTACAATCAGGCTCAGGTCCAGCGACTTGAACATCTTACCTGGTGGGGAGGGGCCTGAGTGGGCAGTGCTGCTCTGCCTACTTCCTTTCTCCCTGCAGCGGCCCCCGAGTCCCACAGCAAACCCAGGGGCAGGCTTCAGGCAGGTGTGGGCATAACGGGGCAGGGAGGCAGACAGGTGATGAGGGCAGACATGTCTGATGCACAGGCAATGAGAACAGGCCAGGTGGGGCTGTAGCACGCACACCAGGCAGGGCCCACCTGGGCAAAGGCTCACAGTGGACACAGTGGGACTGGGAGAGAGGATGGCAGAGGCAGGTGGGACTGAAAGGCACCGTCAGGTAAGGGGAGGGGCACACCAATGAAGCCCAGCTGGGAGAACTCCAGGATCATCCAGTCCTCTGAAGGCTGCTGCAGTGCAAAGTTCTTCATGGTGCTCAGGTAGTTGGGCTTGGCCACGATGTCATCCTCCAGCTGCGAGGTGAGCAGAGAGGGGCTGGGGCTGAGGAAGGGCACCCAGATGGACCAGACCCATCGCAGGGCAGGGCGGCGCAGGGCAGGGCAGGGCAACGCAGGGCTTGGGGCTGACCTGCACGTAGTAGATGCCTTTGGACTGCGCGTACATCATGAGGAAGCAGTAATCGAGGTTCTGTTTGGTCCTCCACCTGTGGGCCGGGGCGGGGCCTCAGAAGTTCAGACCCCTCCACCTCCATTGTGGCTCCGCAGAGAAGCCGCTGGGTGGGCAGCTTCTGTCCCCCCACCCCCATGCACGGGTCCTCCCATGGAGAATTCAGGGCACTGCAGGGAAACACCCTGGACTCAAACACCAGTAGATGGGTTCTCAGCACAGGCAGGCGGGTTGCTGAGGGTATGGGGGAGTAACTAGTACCTGACTCTCTCCTTGGGGTCCCCAAAGGACTCTCGGAGGCGGGAGAAGTCAGGGTAGAAGTGGGGGGAGGGTGAGATGACCTCCAGGAGCCCAGAATGGATCTCCGTGGGGAACCTGGGGGACGGGAAGGCCTAGTCCGTATGCAGCCTCCAGGGGCTGAGAGGGGCCGAGCCCACCAGACTGTGGCCCTTTCTTGAGGCTCACCCAGTGCCAGCCCCCCACCACCCCCTACACCCAGCCAACTGAGGTAGCAGAGCTCCAGAGGGGCTGGGCCACTTCTGCACACCCACCCCTCCCCCACCAGGTCCCTGCCTCCCCACGAGATAGGAAAGGCACTATCTCATGGGGAGGCAGGAACCTGCCAGCACAACACCCCGCACCGAGCTCTCCCGCCACCAGCTCTCTGGGGTCGCCAGTACTCACAAGGCCTTGATGTTCTCTGTCACTGCCGAAGTGTACTGTGAGTCAGTCTGTGGGGAGACCAAGCACCCTCCCTTAGCCCTGCTGCTGCCCCAAAAGGCCTGGAAGGGCTTGGAGAAGGGGCACAGGCTTCAGATGCCCCCCACGTGGAGGGAGTGAGCCTGCTGTGCTGAGGGCGGAGTAAGGGGGCCCCCAGAGACGGCCCTTTCCCTTTGGGACTCGCATGGCCAAGGACTAGGGGGTGGCGGGGGCGATGGGTAGGGGTAGAGGGTGCCAGAAAGCCCTTTCAACTTTCTATCTCGGAGCATTTGCGAATGAAACTAGCAACTGAACTTCCGACAGCTTTCTCCTCGGAATGGTTCCTGCTGTCAGTTCTGCACCGCGGGGGCTCCTCTGAATGTCCCCCAACCCCGCGTCCCGGCTCACTCGCCTCGGCGATCAGCACCACGATGACCGAGTCCTCCTTCTCCTGCGGGCTCAGCTCGGAGATGAGCGAGTGCAGAGTGTCAGTCAGGTACGAGTGCACCTCGCGCCGCACGCTCGGGATGCCCATCACCACCGACACTATGGGGGACGGAGGCCCGACGCTGGAAAGGGTGCGGGGGCCACCCGTCCCCCCACCCCGTGCTCCTCCCTGTCTGCGCCCATACCTCCGGTGCGGCCCTGGCCCACGCGCACCGCGGGCTGCAGACTGCTCTCCTTGGCCAGCAGGTGTGGCAGGTGATGGAAGACGGTGGGCAGGTGCAGCACGTGCCGGTGTGAGCCGTTCCACGGCTTCAATCGGGGGTCCTCTGGGTGGGTCGGGAAGGATCGGGACTGAGACCAGGGAACCTACAACCAGCCCGCCCCCGCCTTTTCCCCCTCCCGCCCCAGACCTCACCTGTTAGGCGGCCCCAGGTGCGATTGCCGTCTCCGTCTCGCAGCGCCTGCCTTTCTGACACGGCCCTCTTGATCTCGTCCAGCACCAGGTTGAGCTCCTTGGAGCGCTTGAGGCTCTCCTGCTCAGCTGCGTGCAACCGATCGCGCAGCGCCAGGAACTCCCGCTGGTAAACGTCCACAACGTCGCCTGCAGGTGGTAGGCAAGCCGTCACGAGGGGGCGGTCTAGAGCCACCCTACGGGCCCCTCCAGTGTGCCAGCGCACACATCTGGGTGTCCACCTCTGCAATAGCTCATTGACATCTGTTCTTGTGCCTGCCACACGTGACATAGCTGGGGTCACTCTAAAATTACACTGACACTAATGCTCATGGGGAGAAAACCAGGGGAATTAGCCCTCTTCCAGTACTCTCCCCCACCGGGGGTTATTTTATCCTCTGAGAAGGCATCTGAAGTGGAAATACGATTTCCAGACCTAGGTAGGTGGATCCTAAGCAAGGGCTGGAACAGCCTCAGACTGAATCCGCTCCATCCGTTGGCCTCCAAAGCCCACTCTTGCTTTTTGCAGCACACGCTCCCTCCAGCGGGTGGGCTACCCAAGGTCCTGGTGCTAGCTCTTCACTGTCCTTGTAGCGGTCGCTGGTTGCTCACCCTGCACTGGATTCTTAGCCTCACGATGGCCCCGGGGGGTGGCTGCTGCAGTTCCAGGAGCCCACCTCACTTCATTGCTCAGGTGAGCAAATGAGGTTGAGAAACCGGCCCTGGGGCTGCTCAAGGACAGTCAACAGCAGCGAGGGGACTAGCTCTGAACGCCCTGGTGCCTGTGTCTCTGGAGACCTGTGCTGCGCCTGGGGCACCCTGAAGGGTCCGCATGCCACCCCAGGGGGCCCCTGTCAGAACCTCCAGCTGGGCCCAGGCATGAGGGCTGTAGGTGGATGGGGCAGCACAGAGGTGGGGCTGCCCGACAGTAGAGAGGCACCACCAGTCTGGCAGGGACCAGTGAGCAAGAATGAGATCAACAACCTCCTGGTGGCTCGGTGCCCACAGTCCACGCAGCAGGACGCTCCAGGCCTCTGCCAGGCGAGTCTCTGAAAACCTATGTGGCCTACAAGGCCTTCTGTTTCCAAGTCTCCAAGTTTAAGAAGCCTGACCGAACTCCCTCTACACTCAGGCAGCTCTTCCATTCCTTGATCCTTGGTGGCTTCACAGACCCCAGAGTTGCGTGGGATGGCCTCACCCCACCAGCAGCCCTGTGCATGATCAAGGTCATGATCAGGCAAAGTTCAGTCACCTCAGGGCACACCCCTTTCCGAAACGGGCAGGAGGTCGAAGTGCCAAGTGACCAGGGAAGAGGAAGGGGTGGACCTGGGCAGGAGGGAAAGGTTTAAGGAGCAGGGAGCCAGGTAGATCTTCCCTGAGGCATCTCTTACCCAAGAAGCCAGCCCCCACCCTCCACACCCTGCCTCTCTGGGGCTAAAGGCTGAGGCAAAGCGGAGCCTCTGGACAGCCCCTGGCGGGAGGGAAAGGGGAGTCAGATTACTGGCTCTGCCAGGCTCCACGCTGGGCTCAGGGGCTCGGTTACCCTGGAAACCTAACCCCTTGAATGCAGAGCTGGCTATCCCCAGGGCTCACCCATTGCTGGGTGACACCAGGTGTAGGCAGCACTCGCCCACAGGGATGGGACTGGAGGTGCAGAGGCCTAGAGAGCCATCAGGAATGGGTTCAGAGCCACCTGCACCTGCAGGTGCGCCTCCCTCCTGCCTAGATGCCAGTCCCCGCTTGCCTACTTACAGCCACTGCCCACCCCCACCCCCGAGCCCCACCCTGGCTTTCTCTGTCCCACACGACTGCCTCAGATGGACAGGCTGGGTGGGCAGTGGTGGGTGATGCTGCCTGAATCACCCTGGCAACAGCCTGCGCCTTACCCTCGCTTCCTTCCTAGGGGCCTCCCCTCTCCCCCGGGTCCTGTTTACCAGGAGATAAAGGGCCCCACGGGCTCCCGCCCACACCAACCCTTCTGTCATTTCCCTACACACTGCAGGCCCTGGCCCTGGGCAGCCTCCCCCGCCTGCCAGCTCCTCCACCCGCCTTGCCCTCAGCTTCTCTGACTGTGGGTCCAACTCTGTGACTGCCTCCCCATGGGCCAGGCCCTATGCCAGGGCTCTGCCAAGCCATGCTGGCACCCTATAACCCTCGGGAGCTGGGGAGGCAGCTCAGGTGAGGAGAGGGACCAGCCTGGGAGCCCCTGCCACACTTTCTTGCCTCAGGACCACGTTGTTAAGAGCAGCAGCAATGAGGCCTGGAGGCTGTGTCACCCTCCCCTGGAGGCGAGTCATTAGGACATCCTGGGGCCCACAAACCACAGTTCCCCCTGCTTCCCTCTTGGTTGGGGAAAGATTAAAGAGCCAAGCTGGGGCACAACCTTTGTGCCTTGTACTCAGGGAAAAGGGACAGGCTCAGAGGGGCATAGGCAGATATCAGGCCCGTTAACGGTCTGCTGTCACCATGCATGTGTGTGGCAGGTGTCTGCCTCCTCTCCAGACCCTGCAACCTCCTAGGAGTAAGGGTGTCCATCATTGCTGAAGTCCAGGCCTGGGGAGGCGGACAGCCTGAAGGCTGGGAGCGCTGCATGGCTGAGACCCCGGGCTGCCCCCAAGGGTCTGCCTCCCTGGGCAGATCCTCAGCAGGTGCTTGACCGAGGGCCACAGTTTGAGCGCTGGCAGAGCTGCTGCACGGGCTAGATAGGAAATTGGGCCCCAAACCCTTCTCCAGGGTCCATTTTGCGTTGGTCTAAGAGGCCGTCCTGGGCTTGACCTTGCGTTTCCAGGATGATGCCCACACCTGCTGCCCTTCCTCTCTGGTTCCCTGCCCACCTCCTTCCTTCCCTGCAGATTCCACTTCCTGGGTCCTTCCCTCAAGTTCCTGGACCCCCGCTGGCTGCAAAGTGGAGGCCAGGTTCCAATCTGGCCTCCGACTGGCTACGTCTGGTTTCACCAGGGGTTTAAGACAGATTTTCTACATGTGACAACGAGATGGGTTCACATAAGAGCCCAGATTCCCAGCTTCTCTTGAGGCCTCCAAAGACCTGGTACTACTGGGTCACCACAGAAACAGTGACAGCCCCTCGACAAGGGAGGCCTATGTCACCCCATACTCATACCTCACAGGATCCTTAGGCTTCTATCCCCTAGGGGCTGGGCTCGTGAATCTAAGTGCTCCCCTTCTTTGCTCTCCTGTTCCCCAGGCCCTCAGAGAGCCAGCCTCCTGGATGCCCCCCAGACACAGTGGGTGCCATGGAGCCAGTGCCTCTCCCTCACTCTGCTGTCCTGGAGCCTGGCTCCCTGTGGTAAGCCAGGCTTGCAGAGGTGGCTCCTGACATCAATCCGCGGGCATGTGGCTGCTGCGGGAGGCACACACTGGCTCAGGACAAAGGGCAAGGGCTCACGGCTCTACCCACGACTCAAAGAGCATGCCCCAGCCCTTCAGATATGGCCCCACCTAGGCCTTCATGCCAGTGTGCTTTTATAGTCACCCTGCCAAGGACCCAGAATGTCCTTCCCCAGGTGACACACCCTACCTACAGAGAATTCTGCCCCAGCCATGCCTGCCCTTGATAATATACCCCGCCAGCACGGCCTCTGCCCAGCCATCCCTCCCGTGTCAGGCAGGCTCCCCGCAGAGTCCCTGGGTGATGCCTCTCTGGCCCTGGAGCCCCAAGGCCAGCCCAGGCCTCTGCTCTGGCAGAACAAGTGCGGCAGGCGGGCGTGCTGGCAGAGCTCGGCGTGGGTAGATGGAGCTCGGAGGGTCCGGAAGGGTCCAGGTTCCCTCGCCCTCCTCCGCAGCCTCTCTGGGATGGCGCTCCGGGACAGGGAAACAGGGAAGCAGGTGGCGGGGAGGCCGAGGGGCAGCTGGACTCAGCCCGCTTAGGCCTCCAGCAGGCAGGCAGGCAGGAGGCCACTCTCCCGGAACCTCCAGGCCGGGGGAAGAGCGCCTCCGAGGGCTCAGGCCCTACTCGGCCCCACCATCGCCAAGACCGGCCAGCGGGGCGGCGCGGGGGGATCGGCCCGCACCCTCCGCCTGCAAGAGCGCTGGGCGCACGCGGAGGGCGGGGGCCAGCCCGGGAAGCTCGGGGTGCGGAGGACGGGCTGGGGCCGCACGGGAGCGCAGGGCAGCAGGGGCCGGGCTGCCTCAGGACGCCTCCCTCCCTCCCTCCCTCCCTCCCACAGGCCGGATGCTGCCGACGCGTTCTGGGCGCCGAAGGGAGTCCCAGGACCGGGTGTCACGCCGGGGTCGCCCAGGCCGGCGCGGGGCAGCAGGCAGCAGGGTGGGGGGGTGCCCTCGCGCCTGTGTCCCTCACGCCGCCCCAGCTCCTGCCCAGGTGGCTGTGGCTGGCGTTCCGGGACCTCTGTGACCTTGGGTCTCTGCCCCTCTCCGAGAACCCCACGGGTCCCCAGCTCAGCGTCGGGACAGCTGCGCCCGCGGAGTCCGGTCCGGAGCACCCACGGGCGCGGCCCGGGCCCGAGGAGAACGCCGCGGCTCCAGCAGCAAACAAGTGGGGGAGGGTGGGAGGGGCGTCCTCGCGCCGCCCGGGCGGGGAAGGGGCGCCTGCGTCGGCTTCCGGCCGCCTTCCGCGGCCACCGCCGGGCCCGCTCCCGCCGCCGACGCCCAGGTGCGCCAGGTGCGGGCCGGGCGGGGGTCGCGCTCACCTTTCTGGCCGCTGAGTGCCGCGTACCAGGACAGCGAGAGGAAGGCGCACAGGCAGAAGAGCAGCAGCGTCAGGAAGGTGCCATTGCGGAGCCTCATCTCCTCGGGTGCGCGGCGGGCGCCCGCGGGGCCGAGGCTGCATGGCCCGGGGGACCGGGGCCGGGGCGCAGGGGTCGGAAGGCGGCGGCGGCGGCGGCAGGGGCCCCGGCCCCGGGTCGGGGAGGGGCGGGGGGCCCGGGGCCGGGCGGGGACCGGGCCAGGGAGCGCGCCGGCCGCCCCTCAGGGCGCAAGCTTTGTGCCCTGTACTCAGGGAAGAGGAACAGGCTCAGAAGGGCAGAGGCAGGTATCAGGCTCACTGCAGATATCAGGGGCGCGGGACACTGGCGGCCTCGCCTCCGCGGCAGGGCCGGGCCGGGCCGGGCTGGGCTGGGCTGGGCGGCGAGAGCCGCGGCCCGGCCTGGATCTGGGGCCTGGATCTGGGGCCGCCGCGGAGTCGACGGCGCAGGGCGGGGCGGCCCGGATTTAAAGGGGCCGCAGCACCGCCGTCGCCGGCGCCGCGAGGGGGTGGGGTGGGGGCCGGCGGCCGGGATCCCGATCGGCTCCCGCAGCCCCGCGTGGGCTCGTGCGAGTCGGCCTCAGGTAAGGCTGGAGTGGGAGTGCAGGTCGACCGCAGCCGGGGCGGGGGGCGGGCGGCGGGGGCGGCGCTCCGGGACCCCGGTACCCTTCTCAGCAACATCTCCTCCGCGCGCGGACCCCGACCCCATTCGCACGTTCTCGGGGCTCTTTCCCGGGCGTGAGGGGCTCTGGGTGGCGCGGGGGACTGGGCGGTTGAAGCCGGGAGCGACCGCTGCCTTCGCTGCCGCCCAGGGCGCTTCCCCGCTCAGGAGCTTCCTCTGGGCCTCTGGACGGAGGCGCGCAGGGGCCCGGGAGGCGGGAACGATGGGCCTTTCTAGGCGGTATCAGGGCCGATGCTCGTGGATGCAGAGCAGTGACCAGCCCAGAACCGTACCGGCTTCCCGGGGCAGGGGCGGCCCGAGAGCGCCGCTAACGGGAGCAACGGGCCCTGCCCCCGGTGGTGTAGGGGCCACCTCGCCCCGCCCAGCCCAGCCCGATATTGATGGGGGCCCACGCCTTCATTGTTTTTTTGTTGTTGTTGTTTTTTGTTGTTTTTTGTTTGTTTGTTTTTGAGACGGAGTCTCGCTCTGTTGCCCAGGCTGCAGTGCAGTGGCGCAATCTCGGCTCACTGCACCCTCCGCCTCCCGGGTTCAAGCGATTCCCCTGCCCCAGCCTCCCGAGTAGCTGGGACTACAGGCGGCCGCCACCACACCTGGCTAATTTTTGTATTTTTAGTAGACACGAGGTTTCACCGTATTGGCCAGGCTGGTCTCGAACTCCTGACCTTGTGATCCGCCCGCCTCGGCCTCACAAAGTGCTGGGATTACAGGCGTGAGCCACCACGCACGGCCCATTTGCGTTCTAATTTCAGGCGTTCCTCAATCCTCTGTGGAACCAGGAAGGGCGCAAATTATAAAGGGACTGGCCCAGCGCCGCCTCTGGGCAGGCTTTGGGCAGCGCCTGGCCCGCTGCCGGCTTGGACCTCCCAGACCTAGGGGCCCGGTTCCTGGTGGAGGCTGCAGGGACCTCTGCCCCACCCGCCCGGGGGAGGCCCGAGGGGCTGGACTCAGACTGAGATTGAATGCGGCTTTGTCTTCCTAGTTCAGCCCCGGCCCACACCTGGGGCTGAGTGGAATCGGGAGCTTCGAGGGGTCTGGACAGAGAGATTGATGCCAAGAAGGGGGTGGCCGAGCCAGAGGTTGAAGTGGGCTGGATCCTGAGGCCCCCTGTTAAAGGAGAGGGCTCCCCACTCAGTGCTCCTGGAACTTTCCGAACTAGAGACTGGGACTTATAGGAGCCTTCTAGAGGAAACTGTCGTGTTTTCACAGGTGTCTTCTATTTGTGGCAAAGGATAATGGCTTTTCACTTAGGTTGTGACATAAAGGGCCTTAGAAATTGTTAATGAGTTACTTAATGTTAAAACTTAGTCACCCAGAGGCCGGGCGCGGTGGCTCATGCCTGTAATCCCAGCACTTTGTGAGGCCGAGGCAGGCGAATCACGAGGTCAGGAGATCGAGACCATCCTGGCTAACACGGTGAAACCCCGTCTCTACTAAAAAATACAAAAAATTAGCCGGGTGTGGTGGCTCATGCCTGTAATCCCAGCACTCTGAGAGGCTAAGGCAGGAGGATCATTTGAGCTCATCAGTTCAAGACCAGCCTGGGCAACATAGTGACACCTCATCTCATTAAAAATTTTAAAACAAATTTTTTTGGATTTTTTTGTAATTTTATTTATTTATTTATTTATTTTTAGTTTATCTTATTTTTTTTTTTGAGACGGAGTCTTGCTCTGTCGCCCAGGCTGGAGTGCAGTGGCACTATCTGGGCTCACTGCAAGCTCCGCCTCCCACCTTCACCCCATTCTCCTGCCTCAGCCTCCCGAGTAGCTGGGACTACAGGCACCCACCACCACGCTCGGCTGATTTTTTGTATTTTTATTAGAGACGGGGTTTCACCGTGTTAGCCAGGATGGTCTCGATCTCCTGACCTCGTGATCTACCTGCCTCGGCCTCCCAAAATGCTGGGATTACAGGCGTGAGTCACCACCCCGGCCTTTTTTTTTTTTTTTTTTTTTAAGACGGAGTCTCGGTCTGTCGCCCAGGTTGGAGTGCAGTGGCACCATCTCGGCTCACTGCAACCTCAGCCTCCCAGGTTCAAGCGATTCTCCTGCCTCAGCCTCCCGAGTAGCTGGGATTATAGGCGCCCGCCACCACGCCTGGCTAATTTTTTTTTTTTTTTTTTTTTTTTTTTTTGAGACAGAGTCTCGCTATGTCGCCCAGGCTGGAGTGCGATGGCAGAATCTCGGCTTACTGCAACTTCCACCTCCTGGATACAAGCAATTCTGCTGCCTCATCCTCCTGAGTAGCTGGGATTACAGGTGCACGGCACCAAGCCCGGCTAATTTTTTTGTATTTTTAGTAGAGATAGGGTGTCACCATGTTGGTCAGGCTGGTCTCAAACTCCTGACCTCGTGATCCACCTGCTTCAGCCTCCCAAAGTGCTGGGATTACAGGCATGAGCCACTGCGCCTGGCCCTTTTTTTTTTTTTTTTTTTTTTTTGAAACGGAGTCTTGCTCCCTGGCCCAGGCTGGAGTGCAGTTGAGTGATCTGGGCTCACTGCAACCTCCGCTTCCCGGGTTCAAGCGATTCTCCTGCCTCAGCCACCTGAGTAGCTGAGATTACAGGCGTGTGCTACCACACCCGGCTAATTTTTATATTTTTAGTAGAGATGGGGTTTCACCATGTTGGTCAGGCTGGTTTCGAACTCCTGACCTCAGGTGATCCACCTGCCTCAGCCTCCCAAAGTGCTGGGATTACAGGTGTGAGCCACCGGCGGCGCCCAGCCTAATTTTTGTATTTTTAGTAGAGATGGGGTTTCACCATGTTGTCCAGGCTGGTCTCCAACTCCTGACCTCAGGTGATCTGCTCACTTTGGCCCCTCAGAGTGCTGGGATTACAGGCGTGAGCCAACGCACCGGGCCAACAATTTTTTTTTAATTTAAATTTAAATTTTTATTTTTTAATTTTTTATTTTACTTTAAGTTCTAGGGTACATGTGCACAATTTGCAGGTTTGTTACATATGTATACATGTGCCCGGTTGGTATGCTGCACCCATTAACTCATCATTTACATTAGATATATCTCCTAATGCTATCCCTCCCCTCTTCCCCCACCCCACGACAGGCCCCAGTGTGTGACGTTCCCCACCCTGTGTCCAAGTGTTCTCATTGTTCAATTCCCACCTATGAGTGAGAACATGCGGTGTTTGGTTTTCTGTCCTTGTGATAGTTTGCTCAGAATGGTTTCCAGCTTCATCCGTGTCCCTACAAAGGACATGAACTCATTCTTTTTTATGGCTGCATAGTATTCCATGGTGTATATGTGCCACATTTTCTTAATCCAGTCTATCATTGATGGACATTTGGGTTGGTTCCAAGTCTTTGCTATTGTGAATAGTGCCGCAATAAACATACGTGTGCATGTGTCTTTATAGCAGCATGATTTATAATCCTTTGGGTATATACCCAGTAATGGGATTGCTGGGTCAAATGGCATTTCTAGTTCTAGATCCCTGAGGAATCGCTACACTGACTTCCACAATGGTTGAACTAGTTTACAGTCCCACCAACAGTGTAAAAGCATTCCTATTTCTCCACATCCTCTCCAGCACCTGTTGTTTCCTGGGTTTTTAATGATTGGCATTCTAACTGGTGTGAGATGCTATCTCAATGTGGTTTTGATTTGCATTTCTCTGATGGCCAGTGATGCTGAGCATTTTTTCATGTGTCTGCGGGCCAACAATTTTTTTAAGGAAAAAAAAAAAGTGACTCAGTTGGGCACTGTGGCCTACGCCTGTAATCCAAGTGAGACAGCCAAGTCTAAAGGGGTCCCGCTTTGGGAGGCCGAGACGGGCGGATCACGAGGTCAGGAGACCGAGACCATCTTAGCTAACACGGTGAAACCCCGTCTCTACTAAAAATTAGCCGGGAGTGGTGGCGGGCACCTGTAGTCCCAGCTACTCGGGAGGCTGAGGCAGGAGAATAGCTTCAACCTGTGAGGCGGAGCTTTCAGTGAGCCGAGATCGCACCACTGCACTCCAGCCTGGGCGACAGAGCGAGACTCCGTCTCAAAAAAAAAAAGAGGTCCAGGAGAAACTCCCACACCTGCCTAAGCACTGGAAGAACTGGGTAGAGCCACAGAAGCTCTGCAGGGGGGAGGAGCTTTGCAGGGGGAGGAGCTATGCAGGGGGAGGAGCTATGCAGGGGGAGGAGCATGCAGGGGGAGGAGCTAT
Organism: Homo sapiens; assembly: GCF_000001405.40. Classification (NCBI taxonomy): domain Eukaryota; kingdom Metazoa; phylum Chordata; class Mammalia; order Primates; family Hominidae; genus Homo; species Homo sapiens. The sequence goes on from NC_000005.10 coordinate 179,811,396, forward strand.
GCAGGGGGAGGAGCTATGCAGGGGGGAGGAGCTTGGTCTCATGTTCGGGGTGGAACTTGGGATTCTATCTGGGAGGCGAGAAACCAGCTAGCGGGACTCTCTCTCGCTTTGCTGAGAGTCCCTGTTTCCCTTTTTTTCCTTCTTGCCCAATAAATTCCATTTTTCTCACTCTTCAAAGTGTCTGCGAGATTAATCTCTCATGGCCGCTGCACAAGAACCTGGCTTTTAGCTGAACTAAGGAGAAAGTCCTACAACAGTTTGGCGTGCAACATGGGGCTTGAGAAAGGGTGAGTGAGATGCAAACCAAGAAATTTTTTTCCTCTCTTTCTAAGCCTATTTATCTTCGGACTTCTGAGGGGGAGGGGAGGGGAAACCGTGACCCCACCCCCTTGGTCTCCGTGGCCTTTTCCTTACTTCTGGACGGATGGGCGAACGGCGGTTCTCTGTCGCCCAGGCTGGAGTGCAGTGGCGCCATCTCGGCTCACTGCAAGCTCCACCTCCCGGGTTCACACCATTCTCCTGCCTCAGCCTCCTGAGTAGCTGGGACTACAGGCGCCCGCCACCACGCCCGGCTGATTTTTTGTATTTTTAGTAGAGACGGGGTTTCACCGTGTTAGCCAGGATGGTCTCGATCTCCTGACTTCATGATCCGCCCGCCTCGGCCTCCCAAAGTGCTGGGATTACAGGCGTGAGCCACCGCGCCCACCCCTCCATGAAGAAAGTTTTTCTAAATGAAAAATGTTTAGGACGCTCAGGAGAGAAAGAACAGATTAAGGAATGATCTCCACCGCACAGACCTCAAGGCTGTTATGCATGCAGGGCACAGTTCCAGTGCAAATGTCCGCAGGCACGGCATGAGGGCCCCCACTGGGTGCCTCGGGCTCCTTCCAGGGCAGCAGTTGAAGCGGGTCGTACTGCAGGCCTGCAGAAAGGCTGGGGTTCCTCTCCTTTTCGGGTTCCTTCCTGATGGAATCCTAGGTTTTCAGCGGTTCCTTCCTGATGGAATCCTAGGTTTTCAGCAGCTTCCGGAGGCCGCCTGGACTGCAGAAGGCGCCCTGGGCGTGTGTACTTCCACCTCCGCAGGCGCTGGCATCTCCAGGCTGCTTCAGGCCGCTTTGGACCTCACCATCGGTAGCATCTGCGTCTTCTTGAGGTGACTGGAGCCCGTCTATGGTTTCAGCCATTGACTTCTGGACATGGAAGTGTCGAGGCCATTTTTGGCCCCTCTCATATCCGGGAAGGGCTCCGTGCCCAGTAGAGGTGCAGTGCAGCAGCCAGCTCGCAGCAGTGCTCCCGTAGAGCTGATGGCATTGGCAGGAGTGGCGGCTCAGCACAGGGAAGTTCTCCAGTGCCCAGGCCCAGGCTTGCTCTCGGTTTAGGTCCCATGGCACGTGGGGCTCTGGACCTGCCTGCCTCCAAGACAGCTCTTCCAAGGTTGAGGGTTGGAACTCCACAGCCTCAGCCTCCCAAAGCTTGACCAGGCCCAGCCATAGCTAGTCTAGGAAAAGAGCAAATGGCCGTGTTTTTATATTTTGACTTTTGCATTTCAATATTAATTTTTTTGGTAATGTAATGCATTCAAAACATGGTCCCCCCCCCCCCAAAAAAAAAAGAAAAGAAAAAGAAAAAAGCATGTTTCTAACCAGGGGTCCTTCATCTTCTGCAGATGCCAAGGGTGTCCCTGGCACAGTAAAAGTTTGGAAGCCCTGCCCTAAAGCCTCACCTCACCTGGCAGCTGGGTGTTTCATTCATAGCAAATGTTCTGTATATTCACCATGTACCAAACACACATGTCACTAATGATACAAACACATGTGCACTGACATTGACCTCCTCACTGTCTTACTATAGTCCCATCCACAGCCACCTTATCAGAGTCCATGGGACTCTGACAACTTGTAATGGGAAAATTAACCGTGCCTGTAGGGGCCGCCTGGGTAGCGGGAGGTGGTTCATGAGTACCAGGAAAGCTGGCCCTGGGGCAGACCTGGGCAGGGCAGAGCACAGCTTGCAGGACCTAGTACACAGTGTTGGGAATTGAATTTGGGTTTTGACCTTTGAAGCTGTGCATAAAGTCTAAAACAAGAAGAGGAGTGGAGGCTGAGGTTGTATTTGTATTTTAAAATGAGCATTTGCCACACAAAGCCAGGAGCTTCAGACCAGCGTGGTTAACACAGCGAGACCCTCCTCTCTGTGAGAAATTAAAAAAAAAACAATAATAAAAGCCAGGCATGTTGGCATGTACCTGTAGTCCTAGCTGCTCAGGGGGTGAGGCGGGAGGATCACTTGACTCCTGGGTTACAGTGAGCTCTAATTGCCACTGCACTTCAGCCTGGGCCACAGAGTGAGACCTTTTCTCAAAATAAAATAAAATATAACCTTTTGGGCAGGCATGGAAAGGGGCTGGAGAGAATAAGAGGAAACAGAGATAAGCCCCCTCCCTGGGAGCACAAGGGACTCATCCCCAGACATGGCACCACAGGCAAACAGACACTGTCACAAAACTAGCATATTATCTTTCCTAGAAGTCCTTTGTTTTCCCCAAGTGCCCTTTCCCCCAACCTTTTGTTGGTTTACGAGCTCTCAATTCTAACCTCCTAGTACACGAATAAAAATGTCTATCGGGGTGGTGGCGTGAGCCTGTAGTCCCAGGTACTTGAGAGGCAGAGGTGGGAGGATCCTCTGACCATAAGAGTTCCTGACCAGCCTGTGCAATACTGACTCCATCTCAAACAAAAAACAGAAAGCTATACAACTCCGTTTCTCTTGCTAATTTGTCTTTTGTCAGTTTAATTTGCAGGCCCCAGATGCTGAATCTAAGAGGGCAGAGGAAAAGCTTTTCCTCCCTGACATAACCATCCAGGAGAAAGTCTGGAATGGAGGGTCAGAGGGGTAGGGAATGGAGTTAGGAGAAGTAGATAGATTCAGGACAGTCTTTGGAGAATGTACATCACTGAGGTCAAGATGTCCTAGGGAATGGCCCTTCTGGGTTCACAATTCTGCTTCCGTCGGTTAACAGCAACTTAGTCCCTTCTATGCCTGTGGGGATAATCAGTCAGGATAGGCTGGATTATGCTGCTCTAACAACCCCAAATTTCTCTGATCTAATAAAAGTATACTCAAAGCTGTATACCCTTCAAGGGTCCCCTGGGGTCTCTGCTCATTGTAGTTCCTGCCCTGGCTACAGGCATAACCATGTGGAAATCAAAGGCTTTCTTGGCAAAGAGAAAGAGAGCTCTAGAAGCTTTAGCACTGGCAAATAAATAAATGCTTGGCGTATAGGTGATATATGGCTCTTCTGGCTCAGGTCCTTGGCCAGAATTAATCACATGGTCTCACCTCAAGGGAACAGGTGAGTTAAATGCAGAAAAATATTCAAGCTGGGTGAGGTGGCTCACGCCTCTAATCCCAGCACTTTAGGAGGCCGAGGCGGGAGGATCGCTTGAGCCCAAGAAGATCATGGTTGCCGTGATCCATGATCATACCACGGCACTCCAGACTGGGGACCAAAGTGAGACCTTGTCTCTAAAAATTAAAATATTTAGAATGTTTCCTAGCATAAAAGATGTGCTACGTGTGTATTATTACTGTTGCTATTGCCAGAAAGTACAATCAACAGGAACTGCTGGTGGCTTGAGGGGGAGCATATGGTCATAGCTGACTCCCAGGTTTCTGGCTTGTATTGTGACTGTTTCTGGCCTGTATTGTGACCATCACTGCCATCAGGAACCCTAGAGCAGGTCGGGTGTGGTGGCTCACGCCTGTAATCCCAGTACTTTGGGAGGCTGAGGTGGGTGGATCACTTGAGGCCAAGAGTTCAAGACCAGCCTGGCCAACATGGTGAAACCCCGTCTCTACTAAAAATACAAAAATTAGCCAGATATGGTGGTGGGCGCCTGTAATCCCAGCTACTTGGGAGGCTGAGGCACAAGAATTGCTTGAATCCGAGAGGTGGAGGTTGCAGTGAGCAGAGATCAAGCCACTGTACCCCAGCCTGGGCAACAGAGCAAGACTCTGTCTCGAAAAAAAAAAAGAAAAGAAAACCTGGAGCAGGCATGGGGTATACGTCATGGGTCACTACTCTTGGATACAATTGACGAAAACCACAATCAACTGGCTTAAGCCGTTTTATAACCCAGCATTAGGCCAGCCTGGATCCAGGGGTCAGATACTGAGATCAAGCTTTGATCTGCTCAGGATTCCCCCCTCCCCAAGGCTCCTGCTTCCAGATGACCCCAGTGTGCATTTCGTCCGCCAGCGTGGGTCACATGTCCATCCCTGACCAGGGTGCTACAGTGCTCTGGTTGGCCAAGCTTTGGCCATGGGGTTTACCTCACCCTACTTTTACGCAAGAGTATGTGGTGGCCTAACACAGGTGGGGGACCCTGCTTCAATACCAGCCTTTATCCACAGATGACCCCACGCCTTCTGCTCCAGAGCATCAGGGTTATAACACATGGGACACACGGGGCACACATACACTCCCACGCAACATCCACACACCCCACAAAACTACCTGAGCCCACATAGTCAGGGCAGGGACAGGCACAGAACAAAGTGGGTGCACAGGGACTCGCAGGGAGGTCGAAGAGCTGAGTCTCGTCGGGAGGCTGAGGGGGAAGAGCGGGCACTGGGCTGCGAGTGTGCAGAGCTGGAGGTGGGGGACTGCGGTAAGTACCCGTCCTGGGGTGCGGGCCCTGCTGGGAAGCATTGGGAGCAAGAAGGGTTAGATCCTCAAAGGAGGATAATTCTTCCAGAAGGTTTTCTTTGTTTTGTTTTGTTTTGTTGAGGCACCAAGATTGGAGTGCAGTGGCGCCATGTCAGCTCACTGCAACCTCCGCCTCCGAGGCTCAAGCAATTCTCTTGCCTCAGCCTCCCGACTAGCTGGGACTACAGGCACCTGCCGCCACGCCCAACTAATTTTTTTAATTTTTAGTACAGATGGGGTTTCACTCTGTTGGCCAGGCTGGTCTCGAACTCCTGACCTCGTGATCCGCCCACCTCGGCCTCCCAGTGCTGGGACTACAGGTGTGAGCCACCGCGCCTGGCCTCTTCCAGAAGGTTTTCGATGGCAGCAGGTGGAGGGGAGCGAGAGGGCCATCGCTCCTGCTGCAAGGGCAGCCCCTCCACGGGATCCCACACTCCTGACCCGTTCAGTATAGACGGGGTACTCCCGGTGCGGCCTGTCACCGCTCTGTCTGGCGCTGGCGCTCCTAGAGAAGGCCATGCCGACCTCTCCCCCACCTCGCTCCAGATTCCCCTTCTTGAGCTGCTTTTCCCACAGTCCCCCCAGGCGCCACTGAGAGCCTCCCGTCTTCGATGGGCTTGGGGCGCCTGGACCCTTCCGGGGTCACTTTGCCGTCTTCCTCCAGCCCCCCTCCCTACTCCTTGTCGCCGCCCCCCCGTCTTTTCAGGACCTTGCGCACTCAGGCTGGCCCTATGCTTTGGGGTACCCCAGCAGTGCCCCCGGGTCTCCGGCCACCCGGTGACGGAGGGAGGGAGAGGCTGGCGAGGGGGCGGCGCCTTAGGTCCCAGCGCGACCCGCCTCTCAGCCCCTCCCGCCGGCTACAGCCGCGCGGGACGGGGCAGGGACCTCGAGAACACCGGGGACTTGCGGGCCGGTGGCCCCGGGCAGGCCACTTCTGACGCGGGTGCGAGGCCTTCCGCGGGCGTGCACGGTTGGGCCGGAGCCGCGCCGGGGGCCGGGACACGCCTGGGGTCAGCGCTGGCGTCGCCGCTCGGGTGGGGTGGGCCGGGTTCGGGTCCAGTCTCCTCCCCACGGGCGGCCCGCGCCCCGTCTTCCAGTGACCCCCACATCCCTTGCGCCCCGAGCTGGAACTTCGGCAGGTTCTGCCCCGGGCCGCGCGCGCTTTCTGGGGACCAGGGCTGTGGTTCCTGCTCCGCGTCGTGCCTTTAGACACCGCCGGGCGTTCGTCCTCCATCCCTCCCCCCTTTTCCCCACTCCGCGGTTGACGAGGGCCGCCCCCAAGTGGCCATGTCCCCCGGCATGGACGACCCCTCAGTGCCCCTGAGGGCCCAGGGTCTCGCCCCCGTCCCGAGGCAGGCCATGTTTGAATTTATTTGGAGAAATTCGCCCAGCCCAGGGGACCTCTTTCTGCAGCTCTGGCCTTCCAGTAGGAGAGGGTCCCTGGGGCTCTCAGGCCTGACAACTTGGCATCACTGAATTCTCTAACCATGTCTGTCCATGACTTGAACTCCTTTTCTTTTAGAAAGATCTTTGCAAACCCCTTGTGGGCGTGCCCCTCCCATGGCCCCCGTGCCTCTTGCCTGGGCTTTGGGCTTGTCTGAAAGGGCTAAAAGGGGGTGATGCCTGGCCGGGCGGGTGGCTCACGCCTGCAGTCCCAGCACTTTGGGAGGCCGAGGTGGGCGGATCACCTGAAGTCAGGAGTTCAAGACCATCCTGGCCAACATAGTGAAACCCATCTCTACTAAAAATACAAAAATTAGCAAGGCTTGGTGGCAGGCACCTGTAGTCCCAGCTACTTGGGAGGCTGAGGCAGGAGCAGGAGAATTGCTTGAACCTGGGAGGCAGAGGTTGCAGTGAGCTGAGATCGTGCCACTGCACTTCAGCCTGGGTGACAGAGAGAGACTGTCTCAAAAAAAAAAAAAAAAAAAAAAAAAAAAGTGATGTCCAGTGCCTGGGGATTTTTCCTAGGGAGTGGTCAAGGAAGGCCCCGCTGAGGAGGAGACATTTAGGGTGGGAAGTTGCCATGTAGGGCAGGAGTGGAAAGGGTTTTGGACCAGAGGGAGAGCCAGGGAAAAGTCACCAGGTAGAATGAGCTGGCATGATTAGGAAGATGGCAAGGGAGGGCTGTGGCCCTCCCATGTGAGTGGAAGGGAGTGGCTGCAGCGCAGAAGGCCTGGAGGCCCCCGCACAGACCAGGACCTCTGTAGAGGAACTCATCCCCTGTGTCCCCTGTGATTGTCAATCTCCCTAAAGATGGCCCAGAGCAGTGCGGCCTGAATCCCTCAGTGGCCTTGTCTCTGGCTGCCCCAGCACCCACGCGGACACTTGACTCCACGCCCCAAAGAAAAGAAGCGAACCTGGGAACACCACTGCCAAGGCATAGGATTATTTGGGAGGGGGGAAGGGGGAACTGAGGAGGTGGTTACAACATGCTGGGCAGCAACAGACAGAACCAGACCACCCCTGTGGCTGCCCCGGCTGGTCTCCTGGGACCACTGGGCGCTTGGCTCAGGCCTCTCCTGCCCTCCCCACTCTTCCACCTCAGCCCCCCTGCAGTCTCTGTCCTGCCCTGACCCCCCAGCTTACAGCCCCAAAAGCAGCTAAACAACTCGCACACCCACGGGGCATCGCCTGGGAGGGCAGCCCAAATCCTTCCACTTCAGCCCCATTTGAAAGATGAGGAAATGAGAGGCTGGTCCATAGTGGGTCTCGCGGCTCAGGTGCCGAGCCTTCCCTGGGCATGCACGCCGGGCCCTGGAGGGTGGGAAGGGGCCAGTGGACGCGGGGAGCCTGCGGGGTGGGACTGCATCGGGAAAGGGGAAGGAGTCAGAGGCGAGAAGGGGGAGAGTGTCTGTCTGGCTCCAGCCGCTGCACGCTCTTCCTGCTCAGGGGACTCACGGTGACCCCGGAGCCACTCCCCAGCCCAGCCTCCAGGTAAGAGGTCACTGAGATGGGTGGCAGCAGGGGCCGGGGATCCCCCTATTACGACAGCGGTCATGGGACGCTGACTCACTGCCGGCCAGACCACCTGACCTCCGCGGCGGGAGGAGAGGGCCCTGCCAGGGGGTTCCCGCCGCGCCTTGTTTACCTCCGGGAGGCCTCGGCCTCGCGTGGGGGCAGGGCGGCCGCTGGGGCCGCAAGGCGTGCGGGGAAGGGCCAGAGCCGGGTGTCCACCCCAGCTTCCCAAAGACTCCCTCTTCTGTGCTTCCTTCTCCCCTCCCCGCCCCCCCCCCAGTCTCTTCACATGCCCCTAGCCCCCGCGGAAACTTCCCGCGATCCCAAACGGGCCAAATGGCGAGAAAGCAAAGGAGCTCCTTCTTGGGGGTGAGTGGGGCGCCTTGAGCGCTTCCTCAAAGCTATGTTCCCAGAGCCACAGGCCTTCCTTGTGTCCCTCACCCTGCTCAGACCGGGCCATAGCCGGGGGCTGGGGCAGGAAAGCCGGCCCTCGGCGGGGGCCACGTGGCTCTCAGGCGCCTGGGCTGCTGAGTCACGCTTGGCCAGCACCTGTCTGTAGGCCACAGCCTCTGCCAGCACGCCCCTCTGTGTCCCCTGCCCCTGTCTGCAAGGCAGTGGCTCCAGCAGGCCCTGGGGCATTTTCCACTCTCCACCGCCGGATGCAGGGAGAGGCCTGAACCCTCTCCACAGGGCTGCTCTGGGCAGGGTGGAAGCCTTGCCCACTTCGGAGCCCTCCGGGAAGGATCATTCACACCTGTGGACCAGCCCCTGCTGTGCGCACACCCACACATCACCTTCGCACCTGACTGGCCCCATCCAGCCACTCTTGCCTCCCTCTGGGTTTCCTCCCCTGGGAGGTTTCTCCAGCTCCTGCAAGCCCTGGGCTGAAATGGCATGAGTTGGACCCAGCAGGTTCTGACCTCCTACTCACAGGACCTTGCCTGGGAGGCTCCAGAGGGTGACCACTCGTCCTGCCCCTCTCCTTGCCCCAGTTCTGGCGGACAGGTTACTCTGGTGGCATAAAGCAGTGTTTCTTCCTTCCTAGCTGAGGAGGCTGTTGGCTGACCCCCTTGGCTGCCCACAAGGCCAACGGGCCTGAGCCCCCACAGGGCCATGGGCATTACCTGCTGAATTGAGGAGCCCATAAGGAGTCACTTGGACCACAGTGAACACTTGGCGACCACTGACACTCAGGAGACCTTAGCTGGTCCTCCAGCACCTCTCAACTCCACTCCTACTAAACTGGGAACTTCTCTGGTGCTCAGGCCAGAGTCGGGGTCCGTCACCGAGTATGCTATGCGCTGCCCATCACCGAGGATGCCATGCGCTGTAAGAGGGCTGCCACCGCGGCAGGCTGACCATGGCAGGGTCGGAACAGCAACCTGAGAGCCAGCTTGTTCTGGCCAGCAGTGCCCACTGGGCGACCTAGCAGCCTCCTGATATGGGGGCTGTGTCCCCCTCTCCCTGCACTGGGTACCCCCAACTGAGGATATTGCTGAGTCATGGCCAGGCCCAAGCCTGGGAGGGGCGAGGGGCTGGACCCCCGCCAGTACCCTGATCCCAGGTGCAGAGGCTGGAGCCCAGGCCTGTATGAGTGCCAGGGCCGGTTTCCTGGGGTCCTTGGTGCACCGGGGCAATGAAGAGAGGGGTCAGCAATGAGGGGGCCGGGAGACCTGGAGCGAGGGGTAGCGGGGAAGGGGAGAGTAGTGAAGGGGCCTCTGCAGGGCGGCTCTCGCGCCGCGACGACGGTGGCGGGGGCGGGGAGGGCGCGAGAGACTCCGCCCCTCTCGAGGCGGGGCGGGGCCTCCGCGTTCGCTACAAAAGCCGCGCGGCGGCTGCGACCGGGACGGCCCGTTTTCCGCCAGCTCGCCGCTCGCTATGGCGTCGCTCACCGTGAAGGCCTACCTTCTGGGCAAGGAGGACGCGGCGCGCGAGATTCGCCGCTTCAGCTTCTGCTGCAGCCCCGAGCCTGAGGCGGAAGCCGAGGCTGCGGCGGGTCCGGGACCCTGCGAGCGGCTGCTGAGCCGGGTGGCCGCCCTGTTCCCCGCGCTGCGGCCTGGCGGCTTCCAGGCGCACTACCGCGGTGAGCGGGCCGGGGAGCGGCGGGGGCGGTGACGCAGGCCGGACACGGCCTCCTGCCGCGGGGTGGCTGCCCCCTCCCTTCTCGGCGACGCCTGGCGGGCCGTGAGGGGGTCTGCGCTGGCTGCTCCCTGGATGGCGGTGGCCTGCATGGGTCCCCAGTTCGGCCATGGGAGCCGGCCTGGTGACTGGAGTGGTGACCAAGGCCGGGACCCGCTGCTCAGCGTCGGCCCCCTGGGGCGGTGGAGCCCTGCCGGCCGGGGGCTCGAGCCTGGGGGCGTCAGACGCCCCGCTCCACCCCCCGCGCTGTTGGGGATTTTGGCAAGGACGCGCCGGGGCGAACGCTCTGGCTCTCCGCGGGCACTGGGTGGTCAGGCGGGCACTCGGGTTACACTGACACCTTGCTGCGCCAGGTGGTGGGTTCAGATAATGCCCTGGAGGAGCCGGGCGAGCGCCGGCGAGGGGAGGGAGTGACGCGGGTAAACAAGCGCGGGGGTGCGGGGGACTCGCGAGCGCCGCGACAGCGCCTGGGAGAAGGGCACGGATCGCCGGCGGAACGCTCCGAGCCAGGTCGAGTACAGATGTTTTCCCATTGGCAAGTGGACGAGAACGTTCTTCAGAAGTGTTGGTGTTGGCACAGAAGCCCTGTTTCCTGCTGCGCTGGTGTGACCAGTGGCTGCTGGGGGTGGGGTTAGGGAGGTGGTTGTGGCCAGGAGGGCGGGAGGTGGCCAAGGCCGGCCCCTGGGAGGGTGCAGTGCTAGGACCTCCCTCTGGAGCGCTGCCAGCATACCAGGCCCTCTCCTATTCTTAAAAAAAAAAAAATTGTGATGTTATTGAGCTGTAACTGAAATAAGGGTTCACCCATTTAGTGTACAAGTCAGTGGTTTTCACTATTTTCATAGGTTTGTGGACCATATTCAGTGTGAGAGCTTTTCATCACCTTATAAACGCCATACATACCTTTTATCACCCTCTTATCCACATGCCCCCAGCAACCTCCTTTCTGTATCTATTCATCTTGCAATCCTGGACATTTCATGTAAATAGAATCAGACAATGTAGTCTTGCAAGTGGTTTCTTTCACTTAGTGTAATGTGTTCAGTGTTGTGGCACATATCAGAACTAGTTTTTTTTGGAGGAATAATATTCTGTTGTGTGGACAGGCCATGTTTTGTTTACCTGTTCATTAGTTGACAGACATTTGGGTTGTTTGCATCTTTGGGTGCCTCACCTGTGCCCTCGGTGGATGGCGTGGTTTGGTCTGCACAGCTGTGCTTTAAAGCCATTTCAGCTCATATGTATCTGTCACAAATGGAGACTACATACAAATACGTGTCTTTCAGCTTTGTTAGGGAAGGAAGCAGGCAGATGCCCTTGTCTTCTCCTTTACTCCCAAGCCACTAGAAGTCTAAGGCCTTTGTGGGGCTGGGCCCCTCAGGAGCAGGTCACAGGCAGGGATCTCCCACAGTTGAAGACGGACATGGGCCTGGTCGGATGGGGAATGAGGTGGCACGTTTCTGAAAAGGCAGCTGGCCCAAGGCTAAATAAGTGCAGCAGCCAAAGCTGCTGCCCCTGTGCACAGGCCCTCCGCCCCCTGCATGTGGCTGTGGTCCAGGGCCCAGGTCGGAGCACTCACCTTCCAGGAGGTGCCAGAGCAAGGGGGTAGTCTTGCCTCTCACTCCTGCCCTCTGTGGCTCAAGTAGGTGTGTTTGTTTATAGCCCTGTGAGTGTCCCTTTCATACTTGCCTCAGCCCATTCCAGCAGCTTATGTCCAGCTGAGAACCCCTGGGTGCTCACGTGCTGTCTTTTAAACAATCTAGATGAGGACGGGGACTTGGTTGCCTTTTCCAGTGACGAGGAATTGACAATGGCCATGTCCTACGTGAAGGATGACATCTTCCGAATCTACATTAAAGGTAAGGGGCTGCTCTGGGGGCTGCCTGAAGCCAGCTCAGCTTGTACTCAGTTCCCTGCTGAGTAAAAAACAGGGCTCGATGTTCCACCAATGAAGGGGTCAGCAATTTGAGGGCTGTTTAAGACAGAGACATAGGCCAGGTGTGGCTCACGCCTGTAATTCCAGCACTTTGGGAGGCCGAGGCGGGCAGGTCACCTGAGGTCAGGAGTTTAAGAACAGCCTGGCCAACATGGTGAAACCTTGTCGCTACTAAAAATACAAAAATTAGCCGGGTGTGGTGGTACATGCTTCTAGTCCCAGCTAC